>NC_000006.12:18090303-18241818 GCF_000001405.40 Homo sapiens | reverse complement strand
CTGTTTTTATACAGCCCTCAAGCTCAGAATGGTTTTTCCATTTTTAAATGATTGTTTAAAAAAATGAATATGCAACAAAGATTATATGTAGCCGGGAAAGCTGAAAATATTTACTATCTGGCACTTCAAAGAAAAGTCTTGGTGACAAATCTAGTCCATAAATGTGCTTTTCATTTTATGTGGTATAGCTAGATGAGTCACCTCTGGAGCTTCAAAAACATATACAGGTGCTCAGGAATCAGGATGTTTGGCTGTAACACCCTTGTTCTTACAGCTTCACAATACCTTCCATAAAGTAGGGATAATGAATTGCAGGCCAAGTACTTTGAGAGTATGGATTAATCAAATTGATGGTATTGTGAAAGATTTAGAGGAGGTAATTGTTAAGCTAGGTTTAGAATCATGAGTGGGGTTTTCCTAAGTACAGGGGAGGAATGAAAGTAATGAAGATTTGAAAGTTCATGTAAAATTAAAGGGGACATTGTTTAACTTGCCTTGTCAGCTCTCCCTGTGTTTTTTTCTGTTACCTCCAAATTCTGGTTACCCATATTTACCTTGACAGACAAAAATTGTCCATTGTGTCCTAATACCAAGGTATGTCCTTTGAGATGCCCCCATTTTCCAGAGACCTATTCCTCCTATACCTAATAACCTTCAGGGCAGCCGAAGTGATGAAAACCTGCAGGACTAAAGCACAAGATACAAATTCATTAGTAGTTTTACTGTTCAGCTTTCATGATTTCTTAACTCAGCATTAATCTAAAAAAGAGACTTTACCAAATTCCTACCTTAACTTTGTCACAGAAGAATTTACAGCTGGTTGCTAAAGATAAATGAAATTCTGTATAAATGACATGACGTATTACTATAGATGTTTGCGGGCCATGTCGTATCTACTATAATGTAGTGAAGTAAGTGCGATATATCATGGCTAGTTAATACAGTTGTTATTGAGTTTGTCTCACTGTGTTTATAATTTCCAGTCTGTGTATCTGCCCTGCTTTTAAAAAAAAGAAAATTAGTTTTTTAGAGATAGGGTCTTCTGATTTTGCCCAGGCTGGTCTTGAACCTCTGGCCTCAAGTGATCCTCCCATCTCAGCCTCCTAAAGTGTTGGGATTACAGGATTGAGCCACTGCACCCTGCTTTTTGAAAACACTTAGAAAGTTTAAGTTATTGGAGGAAATTATATTTGCATAATCAAAGAATTTCTCATTCTGCAAAAGGAAGCACTCAGTAATAATAGTTAATATTTAGTGTTTACTATTTGCCAGGTACTACCAAAAATACTTTTCATCTGTTAATGTATCTACTCCCCATAAAACCATAGGAACTATTGTTTCTTTTGTTTTGTAAATGAGACAAGGGCCCAGAGATGTACTGGGGCTGGAATTTGAAACCAGGCAGCTTGCTGCTAGAGCCTGTACTCTTTGAACTATTATGTCGTATATTTTTCTTTAGTGCTTGTGCAGTATATTTGCAGTCTTTTAGAAATTTTAATAGATGACAGGCCTGGTTGTCCGTTTAGAAAAACTGTAGAACATTATCCTTTACAGCAGATATGAAATGTAGAAAGATGTGGTTTTGTTATACAGAAGTAAGATTTTATGGAGATGGCTTGTTATTTATTATTATAAATGTTTATGCTTTGACAAACTGTCACTACTCACAATTTGCAGGTTTTAAAATGATGTCATGTTGTGTATCACATCTAAAATTTTAATGGCAAGCCTTAAAAGGCTTTGGAAGTATTTTAGTTATCTAATTCTGATTTTCTAATTTGAATGGAGATTGAGTAATTATTGATGATATTGTTTCTTTTGCTCAACCTTCAACCCTTTCAGTAATAACTTACTTTCTTGTACCTGCAAGTCCAGATTTTATTACCGTTTAACTAAAAAATGATATATAATCATGATTATTGTATTCTGTGTATTAAGTGTGCTAAAGAACTTAAGAATTTTTAGGATTCCCTTTCAGAGCCTAATATATAGTTCACATGAACTGGGTGGACACTTAATGAACCTTAAAACTTAGTTTAAGTTCGTCATAAAAAAACGACAAATCATTGATACTTGTCCCATAGCCCCACACCATCTAGAACATCTCTTAGGATTAGGAAGTAAGTTAAAATGGCCTGTAAATCGCAAAAGTCCATGGGAAATTCATGTACTTACTTTTAGAAGCATGTCAGCCCCTTGACACCTTAAAAATGTATTTTTTAGTAGCAGTTAAACTACATGCTTCCCAGCCAGTGGTATATTGTTGAGGTAGTGCAGGGTGATGATAGGCTTGTATAAATAGGTACAGTGATGGTATATTAGCAAAAAGAAAGACAAACACTAAAATCCAGCCAGGTGAGGTGGTGTGTGCCTGTAGTCCCAACTACTCAGGAGCCTGAGGTGGGAGGATTGTTTGAGTCTAGCATGGGTAACATAGCGAGACCATCTCTTTTTTTTAAAAAAAAAAAAAAAAAAAAAAAGACACTAAAATCCAATGAATAGCTTGAGGCCACTTTTGGAACAGATTGATGTGTATACTTTAATCTAAAGGATAGGTTCAACACAGTGCTTATGTCTTTAAAAACAGGTTGACTTGGCCGGGCACAGTGGCTCACGGCTGTAATCCCAGCACTTTGAGAGACCAAAGTGAGTGGATCACCTGAGGTCGGGAGTTCCTGACCAGCCTGGCCAACATGGAGAAACCCCGTCTCTACTAAAAATACAAAAGTAGCCGGGTGTGGTGGCGCATGCCTGTAATCCCAGCTACTCAAGAGGCTGAGGCAGGAGAATCACTTGAACCCGGGAGGCAGAGGTTGCGGTGAGCCGAGATCATGCCATTGCACTCCTGCTCCTGCCTGGGCAACAAGAGCGAGACTCCATCTCAAAAAAAAAAACCAGGTTGCTTTAGGATAACTCTCAGGAATCAAGAGTGTTAAACATTTGGAGAAACGTTCTGTCAAGTGATCGCAGTAGTTTTAGTGTGTAAATGGGAGAATTTAAAATATCTTGGAATGTTTAATAGGAAGCTTTTCCTTTGGGAACATTAATTAAACTAAGAATTAATGCTTTCTAATTTCACAGGCTCCACATGAGACAAAGTATGAACTCTGATTTTGTCTTTTTTTTTTTTTTTTTGAGACAGTCTCTCTCCTGGAGTGCAGTGTCATGATCTCCACTCACTGCAACCTCCATCTCCAGGGTTCAAGCAATTCTCTTGCCTCAGCCTCCTGAGTAGCTGAGACTACAGGTGCCCACCACCACACCCAGCTAATTTTTGTATTTTTAGGAGAGACAGTGTTTCACCATGTTGACCAGGATGGTCTCAGTCTCTTGATCTCATGATCCGCCCGCCTTGACCTCCCAAAGTGCTGGAATTACAGGCATGAGCCACCATGCCTGGCCTGTCATTTTAATCTATCCATATTTATGTATTTTGTTTGTGTCTAATCACCTATGGGTTAGTGTTTAAGAACACAAGTTCTGGAGTCACATCTATATTTGAATCTTGCATGTTTATTAATGTGACTGTGGACAAGGTAACCACACTGAGCCTTAGTTTCCTCATATAGTCATAAGTATTTATTGAGCAACTACTGTATACCAGAGACTATTTTAGGAGTTAGGGAAACATCAGTGAACACAAGATTCTAGGCCAGGTGTGGTGGCTCATGCCTGTAATCCCAGCACTTTGGGAGGCCAAGGCAGGCAGATCATCTGAGGTCAGGAGTTCAAGACCAGCCTGGCCAACATGGCAAAACCTCATCTCTACTAAAAATACAAAAATTAGCCGGGTGTGGTGGCGAGCACCTGTAATCCCAGCTACTAGGGAGGCAGAGACAGGAGAATTCGCTTGAACCCGGGAGGGCAGAGGTTGCAGTGAACCAAGATCGGGCCACTGCACTCCAGCCAGGGTGACGCAGCAAGACTCTGTCTCAAAAAAAAAAAAAAAAAAAAAAAAGATTCCAGTTGAAAGAGAGAGAACATAAATAAGAGAAGATAATATTATCTATATTTAGGGGTCCCCCCCAAGATTAAGTAGAGTAATGCATATGTAGTTTATCCATAGTGTTGAATAAATATGGGCAACTCTTGTGTGTGTGTGATTGTGATTTGTCATGCTTAGACTTGTGTTGGGATAAAATTGTTGTATATTAGTCATCTCTCAAAAAGAATTTTTAATTGCTGATACCAAATATATTGGTTTTCTCTAATATTATTAAGGGGCATAGGGGAAGTAGAGGGATGGGATGGGATAGCATTGAATCTCATCAATATGTGTACTTTTACTTTCTTTTGTAACAGCCACCAAAAAAGACAGCCAAAAGAGAAAAACCTAAACAGAAAGCTACTTCTAAAAGTAAAAAATCTGTGAAAAGTGCCAATGTTAAGAAAGCAGATAGCAGCACCACCAAGAAGAATCAAAACAGTTCCAAAAAAGGTATGTTAGAAATAACATTAATCAGCAACTTTAAAGATATAGCATATATTAATATGTTGTACATAGTATTTAAGTGTGTGGGAGAAACAGGTAAACTGCAGAGAACATTGCGGGGAGAAGTAATACAGGTTGAATATCCCTTATCTGAAATGCTTGGGACAGGAAGTGATTCAGATTTTGCAATATATATATATAGAGAGAGAGACAGAGAGAGAGATATCTTGGGGATGGGACCCAGTCTAAACATGAAATTCATTCATGTTTCATATTCATCTTAAATAGCCTGAAGGTAGTTTAATATTTTAACTAAATAAATTATTTATTGCAGTGGTGCCGTTACAGCTCACTGTAGCCTTGAACTGCTGGACTCAAGCGAGTCTCCTATCTTGGCCCCCCAGAGCACTGGGTTTACAGGCTTGGACCACTGCCCTTGGCCTGAAACCAAGTTTTGACTGCGACCCGTCACACGAGGTCGGGTATGGAATTACCTCCTGGTGGTGTCATGTTGGTGCTCTGAAAAGCTGGATTTTGGAACATTTCAGGTTTTGGATTTTTGGATTAGGGATGCCTAACCTGTATACCAGTTTTTTATAGTTTTTGATTTTTCAAATTGACTAAAATTTGTATGCATGTTTTATAGGTAACTGTAGAGTAGTGATTTATAATTTTTTTGATCCAGTACCCCTTTGAGAATCTGTTGAAAGCTTAAAATTCATCTCAGCCTTTGTTAAATGTTAATTTACTATGTAAGAAAAATTATTATTATTATATTACTTTTAGAAAGTGAGTCTGAGGATAGTTCAGATGATGAACCTTTAATTAAAAAGTTGAAGAAACCCCCTACAGATGAAGAGTTAAAGGAAACAATAAAGAAATTACTGGCCAGTGCTAACTTGGAAGAAGTCACAATGAAACAGATTTGCAAAAAGGTAATTAGACAAATGTTTAGATTATTTTGCTTTTGCTAGAAAAATTCTTTCACTTATCTCTGAATTTGAAGCTAAATACTTACGTGCATTCACTTATTGAAGAAAGATTTATTGAACTACTATATGCCAGATCTCCTTACAGGTGCTGGGATACCACTTAAAATAGTCAAAGTCTCTGTCCTAATAGAGTTATTTTATAAACAACATTAAAATGAATAAAGTTAGAGTGAATAAAATTAAAGTGACACATTCCAAACCACATAGGAAACTTTTTCTGATCTGTAGGTTGTTTCTATTGATGTATCCTTAGTTTATGTTAGTTTAAAGAAGCAGAATCTCATGAACCGTCTTATTCTCTTCTTAGTGTGATAAATGAGCTGTTATAGATTAGGTTCTTAACTCAGACTTCTGCAGCGTCTTTCTAATATTTCTAATACTTCTCAGGAAATAAAGTGGCCTTGTCTTGAATATGATTCCATAGGGATTCTATGGAAATTTTAGAAACTTGTCTGTTGGGGTAAAATAAAATTACAATTTGGAATGTACCAAAAGTGAAATAGTCTGTGCTTTTTTAAAGGACATTGATTATTATTTTGTTCATTCATTCACCATTCATTGATTCTCTACTACATTTCAGGCACTGGGCTAAATGTTACAGGTAGAAGCTAGATGTGGTGGCTCACGCCTGTAATCCCAACACTTTGATAGGCTGAGGCAGGAGGACTGCTTGAGGCCAGGAGTTCAAGACCAACCTGGGCAGCATAGTGAGATCCCGTCTCTACCAAAAAAAAATTTTTTTTAATGTTACAGGTGGAACCAGAGAAGCCATTACTTAGCTTTCAAGAGGAGCTTACAGTCTAGTGGGATGGAAAGAGATAAATATTTTAGTAATTAAAATATTGTAAGCGAGGGCTGTGTTAGAATATGGAAGGTACTGCAGTGCCACAGAACAAGCACCCTACTTGAGGCTGGGGGAATCTGGAAAAGCATCTTGGAAGAGCTCTTAACTGAATTTCCTAGTGGAGCATCACCCATTCTATACAGTTGAGGAACAATAACACATTAACCAAAACAATAATTGAAAGGAATAGTATTAGTTCAACATGTCTCAAGACTAGGATTGGAAAGAAGTCCTCACAGAAGTTAGGAGAAAATATTAGAGTTTTGCAGATCTTAAATATGCCATGTTAGAGTTTGAGTTTCTTCCTGAAATAAATGAGGAATTCAGAGGCTATGTAGATTATTGAGATTTAGCAGGGGCATAACGCAATCATATTTTTATTTTTAAAAGTTATCCTAGAAACATTAAGAACAATGCAATAGCAAAGGATGAGATGAGAGAGGCAGGACACCCAGTTATATCATCATTAAAATGACAGTGTGGAGTGGAGAGGAAGTCAAAGAGAAATTAGTTCTGTCCATTAGAAGGATTTTTGTGAATACCTTCATGTAAATTTTTTAAAGGGATTAATAACATGGAGAGGTCAGGTGAGAAGGAACTGACCTGTTTTGGAGTCTGCAATTAGGAGACGATGACATAGGGTGGTAAAAGCAAGAGTTATTAATGAATAGTGAGGAAAATGAACAAAGTAACTTCTGTTTCAAGCAGCTGTCTTTGGAAGGAAAATAGTAGGTAAATGGGAGTAGGTGAGAAAGTATTTTTAATGGGTAGTAGGGGTGGAGGGGAGAAAGCAATTTGGTGGGAAAGGAGAAGTTACAGGAGAGGTGAAGGGTGGTCCTGTGGAGGCAAAATTAAGAACCATTGATGAATCCAGATACAACTGGAGGGGAAAGTGCTGTCAGAAAATTGAAGGAATTCATAATAATGGCTTTTTGGCTGACAGTAGCAGTGTGAGACACTTGAATAAGGAGATGAAACTGCCATTGGTGGAAATGAAAGGAGAGAGCCTGACTGGGAGCTCCAGGGGGAGGAGCCTTTGAAGATGAATGCCATGAACTGAAAATGAGACCAGTCTCTTCAAAGTTATTTTCCCACAGCAATCTGTAGTCTGGGCTTAACCATAGAAAAATGAGTGGTTAGACCAATTCGGGATTGGGGTTTTGCAGGGAAAGAACAAGGGGCAAACAATTTTTTTCTTTTTTTTAATACTTTTAAGTTCTAGGATACATGTGCACAACGTGCAGGTTACATATATATATATATATATATATCCATGTGCCATGTTGATGTGCTGCACCCATTAACTGGTCATTTACATTAGGTGTATCTCCTAATGCTATCCCTCCCCCGTCCCCCCCACCCCACAACAGGCCCCGATGTGTGATGTTCCCCTTCCTGTGTCCAAGCGTTCTCATTGTTCAATTCCCACCTATGAGTGAGAACATGCAGTGTTTGGTTTTCTGTCCTTGCGATAGTTTGCTGAGAATGATGGTTTCCAGCTTCATCCATGTCCCTACAAAGGACATGAACTCATCCTTTTTTATGGCTGCATAGTATTCCATGGTGTATATGTGCCACATTTTCTTAATCCAGTCTATCATTTGGGTTGGTTCCAAGTCTTTGCTATTGTGAATAGTGCCGCAATAAACATAACATGTGCATGTGTCTTTATAGTAGCATGATTTATAATCCTTTGGGTATATCCCCAGTAATGGGATGGCTGGGTCAAATGGTATTTCTGGTTCTAGATCCTTGAGGAATCGCCACACTGTCTTCCACAATGGTTGAACTAGTTAAAGTCCCACCAGCAGTGTAAAAGTGTTCCTATTTCTCCACATCCTCTCCAGCACCTGTTGTTTCCTGACTTTTTGATGATCTCCATTCTAACTGGTGTGACATGGTATCTCCTTGTGGTTTTGATTTCATTTCTCTGATGGCCAGTGATGATGAGCATTTTTTCATGTGTCTGTTGGCTGCATAAATGTCTTCTTTTGAGAAGTGTCTGTTCATATCCTTTGCCCACTTTTTGATGGGGTTGTTTGATTTTTTCTTGTAAATTTAAGTTCTTTGTAGATTCTGAATATTAGCCCTTTGTCAGATGAGTAGATTGCAAAAATTTTCTCCCATTCTGTAGGTTGCCTGTTCACTCTGATGGTAGTTTCTTTTGCTGTGCAGAACCTCTTTAGTTTAATTAGATCCCATTTGTCAATTTTGGCTTTTGTTGCCATTGCTTTTGGTGTTTTAGACATGAAGTCCTTGCCCATGCCTATGTCCTGAATGGTATTGCCTAGGTTTTCTTCTAGGGTTTTTATGGTTTTAGGTCTAATGTTTAAGTCTTTAATCCATCTTGAATTAATTTTTGTATAAGGTGTAAAGAAGCGATCCAGTTTCAGCTTTCTACATATGGCTAGCCAGTTTTCCCAGCACCATTTATTAAATAGGGAATCCTTTCCCCATTTCTTGTTTTTGTCAGGTTTGTCAAAGATCATATGGTTGAAGATGTATGTGGTATTATTTCCGAGGGCTCTGTTCTGTTCCATTGGTCTATATCTCTGTTTTGGTACCAGTACCATGCTGTTTTGGTTACTGTAGCCTTATAGTATAGTTTGAAGTCAGGTAGTGTGCTGCCTCCAGCTTTGTTCTTTTGGCTTAAGATTGTTTTGGCAATGCGGGCTCTTTTTTGATTCCATATGAACTTTAGTTTTTTCCAGTTCTATGAAGAAAGTGATTGGTAGCTTGATGGGGATGGCATTGAATCTATAAATTATCTATGGCCATTTTCAAGATATTGATTCTTCCAATCCTTGAGCATGGAATGTTCTTCCATTTGTTTGTGTCCTCTTTTATTTTGTTGAGTAGTGGCTTGTAGTTCTCCTTGAAGAGGTCCTTCACATCCCTTGTTAAGTTGGATTCCTAGGTATTTTAATCTCTTTGAAGCAATTGTGAATGGGAATTCACTCATTATTTGGCTCTCTGTCTGTTATGGGTGTATAGGAATGCTTGTGATTTTTGCACATTGATTTTGTATCCTGAGACTTTGCTGAAGTTGCTTATCAGCTTAAGGAGATTTTGGGCTGAGACGATGGGGTTTTCTAAATATAGAATCATGTCATCTGCAAACAGGGACAATTTGAGTTCCTCTTTTCCTAATTGAATACCCTTTATTTTCTTTCTCCTGCCTGATTGCCCTGGCCAGAACTTCCAGCACTATGTTGAATAGGAGTGGTGAGAGAGGGCATCCCTGTCTTGTGCCAGTTTTCAAAGGGAATGATTCCAGTTTTTGCCCATTCAATATGATGACTGTGGGTTTGTCATAAATAGCTCTTTATTATTTTGAGATACGTCACATCACTACCTAATTTATTGAGAGTTTTTAGCATGAAGGGCTGTTGAATTTTGTCGAAGGCCTTTTCTGTATCTATTGAGATAATCTTGTGGTTTTTGTCTTTGGTTCTGTTTATATGATGGATTACGTTTGTTGATTTGCGTGTGTTGAACCAGCCTTGCATGCCAGGGATGAAGTCCACTTAATCATGGTAGATAAGGTTTTTGATTTGCTGCTGGATTCGGTTTGCCAGTATTGTATTGAGGATTTTTGCGTCGATGTTCATCAGGGATATTGGTCTGAAATTCTCTTTGTTTGTTGTCTCTCTGCCAGGCTTTGATATCAGGATGATGGTGGCCTCATAAAATGAGTTACGGAGGATTCCCTCTTTTTCTATTCATTGGAATAGTTTTAGAAGTAATGGTATCAGTTCCTCCTTGTACGTCTGGTAGAATTCAGCTGTGAATCCATCTGGTCCTGAACTTTTTTTGGTTGGTAGGCTGTTAATTATTGCCTCAATTTCAGAACCTGTTATTGGTCTATTCAGATTCAACTTCTTCCTGGTTTAGTCTTGGGAGGGTGTATGTGTCCAGGAATTTATCCATTTCATCTAGATTTTCTAGTTTATTTGCGTAGAGGTGTTTGTAGTATTCTCTGATGGTAGTTTGTATTTCTGTGGGATCGGTGGTGATATCCCCTTTATCATTTTTTATTTCGTCTGTTTGATTCTTCTCTCTTTTCTTATTAGTCTTGCTAGCGGTCTATCAATTTTATTGATCTTTTCAAAAAACCAGCTCCTGGATTAATTGCTTTTTTTGAAGGTTTTTTTGTGTCTGTGTCTCCTTCAGTTCTGCTCTGATCTTAGTTATTTCTTGCCTTCTGCTAGCTTTTGAATGTGTTTGCTCTTGCTTCTCTAGTTCTTTTAATTGTGATGTTAGGGTGTCAATTTTAGATCTTTCCTGCTTTCTCCTGTGGGCATTTAGTGCTATAAATTTCCCTCTACACACTGCTTTAAATGTGTCCCAGAGATTGTGGTATGTTGTGTCGTTTTTCTCATTGGTTTCAAAGAACATCTTTATTTCTGCCTTCATTTTGTTATGTACCCAGTAGTCATTCAGGAGCAGGTTGTTCAGTTTCCATGTAGTTGAGCTGTTTTGAGTGAGTTTCTTAATCCTGAGTTCTAGTTTGATTGCACTTTGGTCTGAGAGAGAGTTTGTTAAAATTTTACATTTGCTGAGGAGTGCTTTACTTCCAACTATGTGGTCAATTTTGGAATAAGTGCGATGTAGTGCTGAGAAGAATGTATATTCTGTTGATTTGGGGTGGAGAGTTCTGTAGATGTCTGTTAGGTCCGCTTGGTGCAGAGCTGAGTTCAATTCCTGGGTATCCTTGTTGACTTTCTGTCTCACTGATCTGACTAATGTTGCAGTGTGGTGTTAAAGTCTCCCATTATTATTGTGTGGGAGTCTACGTCTCTTTGTAGGTCTCTAAGGACTTGCTTTATGAATCTGGGTGCTCCTGTATTGGGTGCATATATATTTAGGATAGTTAGCTCTCCTTGTTGAATTGATCCCTTTACCATTATGTAATGCCCTTCTTTGTCTCTTTTGATCTTTGTTGGTTTAAAGTCTGTTTTATCAGAGACTAGGATTGCAACCCCTGTTTTTTTTGTTTTCCATTTGCTTGGTAGATCTTCCTCCATCCCTTCATTTTGAGCCTATGTGTGTCTCTGCACATGAGATGGGTCTCCTGAATACAGCACACTGATGGGTCTTGACTCTTTATCCAGTTTGTCAGTCTGTGTCTTTTAATTGGAGCATTTAGCCCATTTACATTTAAGGTTAATGTTGTTATGTGTGAATTTGATCCTGTCATTATGATGTTAGCTGGTTATTTTGCTCGTTAGTTGATGCAGTTTCTTCCTAGCATCGATGGTCTTTACAATTTGGCATGTTTTTGCAGTGGCTGGTACCGGTTGTTCCTTTCCATGTTTAGTGCTTCCTTCAGGAGCTCTTGTAAGGCAGGCCTGGTGGTGACAAAATCTCTCAGCATTTGCTTGTCTGTAAAGGATTTTATTTCTCCTTCACTTATGAAGCTTGGTTTAGCTGGATATGAAATTCTGGGTTGAAAATTCTTTTCTTTAAGAATGTCGAATATTGGCCCTCACTCTATTCTGGCTTGTAGAGTTTCTGCCTAGAGATCCGCTGTTAGTTTGATGGGCTTCCCTTTGTGGGTAACCCGACCTTTCTCTCTGGCTGCCCTTGACATTTTTTCCTTCATTTCAGCTTTGGTGAATCTGGCAATTATGTATCTTGGAGTTGCTCTTCTCGAGGAGTATTTTTGTGGTGTTCTCTGTATTTCCTGAATTTGAATGTTGGCCTGCCTTGCTAGATTGGGGAAGTTCTCCTGGATAATATCCTGAAGAGTGTTTTCCAACTTGGTTCCATTCTCCCCGTCACTTTCAGGTACACCAATCAGATGTAGATTTGGTCTTTTCACATAGTCCCGTGTTTCTTGGAGGCTTTGTTTGTTTCTTTTTACTCTTTTTTCTCCAGACTTCTCTTCTCGCTTCATTTCATTCATTTGCTCTTCAATCACTGATACCCTTTCTTCCAGTTGATCGAATCGGCTACTGAAGCTTGTGCATGCATCACGTAGTTCTCGTGCCATGGTTTTCAGCGCCATCAGGTCATTTAAGGACTTCTCTACACTGGTTATTCTAGTTAGCCATTCGTCTCATCTTTTTTCAAGGTTTTTAGCTTCTTTGTGATGGGTTCGAACATCCTCCTTTAGCTTGGAGAAGTTTGATCGTCTGAAGCCTTCTCTCAACTCATCAAAGTCATTCTCCGTCCAGCTTTGTTCCATTGCTGGCGAGGAGCTGTGTTCCTTTGGAGGAGAAGAGGCGCTCTAATTTTTAGAATTTTCAGCTTTTCTGCTCTGGTTTCTTCCCATCTTTGTGGTTTTATCTACCTTTGGTCTTTGATGATGGTGACGTACAGATGGGGTTTTGGTGTGGATGTTCTTTTTGTTAGTTTTCCTTCTAACAGTCAGGACCCTCAGCTGCAGGTCTGTTGGAGTTTGCTGGAGGTCCACTGCAGACCCTGTTTGCCTGGGTATCAGCAGTGGAGGCTGCAGAACAGCAAATACTGTCCTGCCTGATCCTTCCTCTGGAAGCTTCGTCTCAGAGTGGCACCCGGCCGTGTGAGGTGTCAGTCAGCTCCTACTGGGAGGTGTCTCCCAGTTAGGCCACTCAGGGGACAGGGACTCACTTGAGGCAGTCTGTCAGAGGTGGAGTCTACAGAGGCAGTCAGGCCTCCTTGAGCTGTGGTGGGCTCCACCCAGTTCGAGCTTCCTCGCAGCTTTGTTTACAACTCAAGCCTCAGCAATGGCGGGCGCCCCTCCCCCAGCCTTGCTGCCACCTTGCAGTTAAATCTTACACTGCCGTGCTAGCAATGAGCGAGGCTCCGTGGGCGTGGGACTCTCCGAGCCAGGCGCGGGATATAATCTCCTGGTGTCCCGTTTGCTAAGATTGTTGGAAAAGTGCAGTATTAGGGTGGGAGTGACCCAATTTTCCAGGTGCCGTCTATCACAGCTTCCTTTGGCTAGGAAAGGGAATTCCCTGACCCCTTGCGCTTCCCAGGTGAGGCGATGCCTTGCCCTGCTTCAGCTCACGCTCGGTTGGCTGCACCCACTGTCCTGTACCCACCGTCCGACAAGCCCCAGTGAGATGAACCTGGTATCTCAGTTGGAAATGCAGAAATCACCCGTCTTCTGCGTCGCTCACGGTGGGAGCTGTAGACTGGAGCTGTTCCTATTCGGCCATCTTGGAACCTCCCGGGGCAAACAATTAGAGTAATTTAAATGATGAACTATATTTTAGAGGGTTGGCATACTACAGCCTGTGGGCTAAATCCATTCTATCTTAGTCACCTGGTTTTGTAAGCAAAATTTTATTGTAATACAGCCACATCTATTTATTTAACTATTGTCTATGGCAGCATTGCCACTACAACGCATAGTTGAGTAGAAACTGACTGGCAGAGTAGAAACTGACTGGCAAAATTGAAACTATTTGTACCATCTAGCCCTTTACAGAAAAAGTTGCTGACCCTGAACTATACAGTGGAAGTAAAGCCTACAGGGTGCTTGCAGACTGTGAGCTTATAGAGTCAGGACCTGAGTCAAGCAGCAAGTATAACAGGACTGAGAAAATTGACAAAAGGCAGAAATTTAGTCAAATTTTAGGAGTACAGGACTCTTGAGACCACCTGGGTCTTAGGATTTAACTTTAGGGAGGGACTGAGCAGTGGAGTAGAGGAAGCAGTTCATTGCTTTTCAGGTTGTGGAATCATAGGTAGGGTGCTGGATAATAACAAGGGTTGGAGAAGAAAGAAGTTTTCCCTAAAAGACACTTGGCAGATGACTTGCCAACATAAAGAACTTAGTTCTGTTATCTAAGATCTATCTGGATGTTTTCTTTACCCATGTTTGTTGGGGTTTTTTGTTTTTGAGACAGGGTCTTGCTCTGTTGAAGGGGTGGGTTGCCCCTCCACACCTGTGGGTGTTTCTTGTTAGGTGAAACGAGAGACTTAGAAAAGAAAAAGACACAAAGTATAGAGAAAGAAATAAGGGGACTCAGGGGACCAGCGTTCAGTATACGGAGGATCCGGCCGGCTTCTGAGGTCCCTTAGTATTTATTGGTCATTCTTGGGTGTTTCTCGGAGAGGGGGATGTGGCAGGGTCATAGGATAATAGTGGAGACAAGGTCAGCAGATAAACATGTGAACAAAGGTCTCTGCATCATAGTCAAGGTAAAGAATTAAGTGCTGTGCTTTAGATATGCATACACATAAACATCTCAATGCCTTACAGTATTACTGCCCGCATGTCCCACCTCCAGCCCTAAGGCGTTTTTCCCCTATCTCAGTAGATGGAACGTACAATCGGGTTTTATACCGAGACATTCCATTGCCCAGGGACAGGCAGGAGACAGATGCCTTCCTCTTGTCTCAACTGCAAAGAGGCGTTCCTTCCTCTTATACTAACCCTCCTCAGCACAGACCCTTTAAGGGTGTCGGGCTGGGGGACGGTCAGGTCTTTCCCTTCTCACGAGGCCATATTTCAGACTATGACATGGGGAGAAACCTTGGACAATACCTGGCTTTCCTAGGCAGAGGTCCCTGCAGCCTTCCGCGGTGTTTGTGTCCCTGGGTACTTGAGATTAGGGAGTGGTGATGACTGTTAACGAGCATGCTGCCTTCAAGCATCTGTTTAACAAAGCACATCTTGCACAGCCCTTAATCCATTTCACCCTGAGTTGACACAGCACATGTTTCAGAGAGTAACAGCATCTCAAGGCAGAAGAATTTTTCTTAGTACAGAACAAAATGGAGTCTCCTGTGGTCTACTTCTTTCTACACAGACACAGTAACCATCTGATCTCTCTTTCTTTTCCCCACACTCTGTGGTCCAGGCTGGAATGCAGTGCCACCAACACAGCTCACTGCAACCTCAACCTCCTGGGCCCAAGCCATCCTCCTGCTTCACCCTCCTCAGTAGCTGGGATTACAGGCATGCATGACCATGCCTGGCTACTTTTTAAATTTTTTGTAGACACAAGGTCTCACCAGGTTGCCTGAGGCTGGTTTCGAATTCCTGGGCTCAAGTGATCTTCCCACCTAGGTTTCCCAGAGTGTTGGAATTACAGGCGTGAGCCATCACATCTGGCTTGTTTATGGTTAGTTAATTCATTCCAGACTCTCAGCCTGAAAACACTGAGAATGTTTGCATGCTAGTTTTCCACATCATATACAATATTATTAAAATACTCATTTGGAATAGAATTCCATATGGGTTAACCAGAGTACTGTTGGGATGGTTGTGGCTATTTGCACGTAGCAGATTTCCTGCTTTTATTCAAAGACAATATTACTGGATTTTAAAATCTGCTTTTAACATTATTTTTCCTTTTCACTATACATAGGTCTATGAAAATTATCCTACTTATGATTTAACTGAAAGAAAAGATTTCATAAAAACAACTGTAAAAGAGGTAAATATTTCAGTCTTTCAAGTTTGACTTTAGAAATATAAGACAAAAGTAATTACATAAAATACTCCATATTTTTCAAAATATTCATGTCACTAAATATCACATTTGATCCTCACATTTCTTCATAATAGGGAAATTTATTTCTTCTCATTCCCACTTTAAAGCTTAAAATTAAAGTTTGAACAGTTAGTGATAAGACCTGAACTCAGATTATGATGTGGCCTCATGGTGTACCTGGGTAGCTGGGCATCTCAACGTTGCTCTCACAAATACTTGAGGAAGTTCCTGTCTACGAGGCAAAGGTGAGGGGAAGATCAGCAGGTAGCTGTAATTCTGTATTGATCTCAACTGATTTTTGAAGGACAAAATAGTAAAATAGATGTGGAAAAAATGGGATAAAGGTTTATGATTTATGGCAAAATAATGTTTCTCTTTCATTACAGCTAATTTCTTGAGATAGAGGACAGAGAAGATGACTCGTTCCCATAGATTTGAAGATCTGATTTATACCATTATACCAGCAAAGAGAATGTATTTCCTTTTCTAAATCCTTGTTAAGCAACGTTAGTAGAACTTACTGCTGACCTTTTTATCTTGAGTGTTATGTGAATTTGAGTTTGCTGTTTTAAATTGCATTTCTATGCCATTTTTAGTTTAAAATCTTGCATGGCATTAATTGTTCCTTGCTTTTATAGTTGTATTTTGTACATTTTGGATTTCTTTATATAAGGTCATAGATTCTTGAGCTGTTGTGGTTTTTAGTGCACTTAATATTAGCTTGCTTAAGGCATACTTTTAATCAAGTAGAACAAAAACTATTATCACCAGGATTTATACATACAGAGATTGTAGTATTTAGTATATGAAATATTTTGAATACACATCTCTGTCAGTGTGAAAATTCAGCGGCAGTGTGTCCATCATATTAAAAATATACAAGCTACAGTTGTCCAGATCACTGAATTGGAACTTTTCTCCTGCATGTGTATATATGTCAAATTGTCAGCATGACAAAAGTGACAGATGTTATTTTTGTATTTTTAAAAAACAATTGGTTGTATATAAAGTTTTTTTATTTCTTTTGTGCAGATCACTTTTTAAACTCACATAGGTAGGTATCTTTATAGTTGTAGACTATGGAATGTCAGTGTTCAGCCAAACAGTATGATGGAACAGTGAAAGTCAATTCAGTGATGGCAACACTGAAGGAACAGTTACCCTGCTTTGCCTCGAAAGTGTCATCAATTTGTAATTTTAGTATTAACTCTGTAAAAGTGTCTGTAGGTACGTTTTATATTATATAAGGACAGACCAAAAATCAACCTATCAAAGCTTCAAAAACTTTGGGAAAGGGTGGGATTAAGTACAAGCACATTTGGCTTACAGTAAATGAACTGATTTTTATTAACTGCTTTTGCCCATATAAAATGCTGATATTTACTGGAAACCTAGCCAGCTTCACGATTATGACTAAAGTACCAGATTATAATGCCAGAATATAATGTGCAGGCAATCGTGGATGTCTCTGACAAAGTGTGTCTCAAAAATAATATACTTTTACATTAAAGAAATTTAATGTTTCTCTGGAGTTGGGGCTCTTGGCTTTCAGAGTTTGGTTAATCAGTGTTGATTCTAGATGATCAACATAATGGACCACTCCTGAATGAGACTTAATTTTGTCTTTCAAATTTACTGTCTTAAATCAGTTTATTAAATCTGAATTTTAAAACATGCTGTTTATGACACAATGACACATTTGTTGCACCAATTAAGTGTTGAAAAATATCTTTGCATCATAGAACAGAAATATATAAAAATATATGTTGAATGTTAACAGGTATTTTCACAGGTTTGTTTCTTGATAGTTACTCAGACACTAGGGAAAGGTAAATACAAGTGAACAAAATAAGCAACTAAATGAGACCTAATAATTGGCCTTCGATTTTAAATATTTGTTCTTATAAACCTTGTCAATAAAAATAAATCTAAATCACTGGTGTTTTAAGTCACTTGCATTTGATATCTTATAGGTGTATATAGCATTTCCTTATGGGGAATAATTCTGAAAAGGGATTTTTAAATTGATTCAGCCCTATAACCTATACAATTTGGAATACTCTTTTGTGGTAATGGACCATTTTCTTGGAGTGACTTCACAAAACTGAATAATTAAGGTTAATTTTATGACCATTTGCTATAAAGAAGGTAAGTAGTCATGCATAGAGTATTTGGAAGTGAGGAAATGGAGTTGTTCTGTATGAAAGTTCTTGATGAGTACGCACACTTATTAAATGGATGTATCACCACTACAGTACAGAGTACATGTGAAAGTCTAGTTTTTTATTAGTTTTACACAACCAGCTATTCATGAACTGTAGTTAAAACATTGTAAATCTGTATATTTACTGCTACTCAATTACAAAATCTTCAGATGGCATTGAAAAAACATATCCAAAGTAACTCAAGAAAAAAGTACCATGGCTTCTTAAACAAAAAATCAAATGAAGTATGTCACTTGATAGGAAGTTTAAAACACACATTTACCATACTTTAAAGTAGGTTTTCCCCTACTTGTAGCACAGTTCAAGTGCCTGGAAACTAACATAATAATTTACTGTTAACCATTTCAAACTTAACATTTTGCATTTATCACTTTAAAACACATGCTGTCTAAACATTTTAATACATGATACTTTAAAGCAGAATACTTGCCAGTCAGTACCAATGAGTCTCAACAAATAACCTAAATATCAGAGTTGTCTTGGGTTAACTTTTGAGATATACAGCTGTTGGCTTGTTTTGGGACCACACTTTGATTGGGGGGGGCGGGGGGCGGGCGGTGGGGGAGGTGTCTTAAATGCCTGAGGTTCACTGCACATTCTTGGTGTGTTAGGTATTTACTCGTTATAAACTGACCTACTTTTAAATTTTTAAAATACTCAATATTTTGAAGTCTCTTTAAAGTCATATTTAGTCCCTTCTTTAAAGCAAACCAGTATATTATTGTTCAAAAACAAAAGCATATTTCTAACCTGTATACTGAAGTTTCTTGGCAAAATAGGCATCCTGAAGACCCTGCAACCAGTGTTTTATTTTAGAATGAGATATTATTAAACTGTTTTCTGTCATGAGTGTTTTTAAAAAAAAGATAAAAGTAAATACTTGCCATGTTCTTAGGCCTTTAAAATATAGCTTATAAAATGTATACTATTTACCAGGAGAGCTCACATTTTTCTGCAGTTTTCCAGTGGACCTGCCTATGGAATACTGTAAAGAAAAATCTGCAAAAATATTCCTAGCAATTGAATCAGTGCTTTTAAATAAAAGAAGTGGAGAGGGGCTTGGTTAAATTATTCTGACAAGTTTTTTTGCTAGTGGTTGCCAAAATTAAGGATATTTAAAGTGTCCTATCACCCAAATTTGGCTTTAAGAAAAAGCTATATTCTGTGTCTATAGTGTGAAGCCCACACTATCTGTGCTGCATTCTCAATGATACAATACCTATCTGGAAACTTTCCTGTTTTGCCAATGGGTGCACAAATCTAAAACATTTTATCACAAAAGGTACTTGAATTTAAATTTCTTTTGAACACCCAGTAGGAGGAAATATGTACAATACAAAATACCTAGAAGCTTCATTTTACTGTCAACTGGAGTTTGTGCTGTATCCAAAAAAAAGTTCTATCTAAATTTTAAGTAAAAGCTCAATATTGGACCTATATAAAAATTAAGGCTCATTGGTAAAGATACTGATAAATTGTCACAGAAGAAAAACATGGCTTTATCTGGTTTTTAAATGATTCCTGCTTGATTGACTTGGTTTCTCAATGTATGAAAATTGATCAGCCATATAAAATGTGAAATCTAAAGGGAACTTCCAGCCATGGAACAATCAAATCCATGGCCTCAACTGAAACTTACATTCTGCTTTATTCTGAAATCCAGACTTTCAGCAGTAGTTGAACCTATGGAAAATGCAATTAAATCTAAGTGCTTATAAGGTTTTTTGAGGTCAGTGCTTTTAGAGTGATGAAATAGGTTTGCATTATCATATCGCCTTAGAAACATTTCAGTTTTACTATGTAGAGACGGTTTTTTCCCCCTCTTATAAAACTGAGGTTTAACATGTGATTCAAATTTCCCCATCTGGGGTACAGAAGAAAGCTGGGTCCACCGAATTCTTAAAATGCTGCAATCTTGCTTGCTTCTCGAACGCCACTCAAATATGCCCCTGTAACAGTTTGTGGGAAATGCCTGTTTGTTGCCTGTAAAACATAATTACATAATTTGAGATCATGCATAGAGTTGAGTTGATATCAAAAGGTAAAACAAGGTTAGACTTTATCTGGTCTAACATAAAGATTTGTGCCACTCCTGTGTGCTCATATTCACACTCACCCATCGTAACACTGGAACTTTTCTGGTTATCTGGCCATGCATTGTCAAATTCACTCATTGTATGCTATCTTGAAGTACTACGCAGCACTCTTTAAAATACTAAGTATATGTGATAGGTACTAGAGTTAAGAACAATTAAGACACAGTCCCTCCCATCAGACAAGTAATGTAGCTGGTACAATCACAGGCGAAACAAGTACAAAAGATGAATGGCAGTTCAGCCAAGCCACAGATGGACTTTTGCTAGATGGGTAAAAAAATAGGTAGAGAGTTACGTTACTCAAAGGATATACCAGGGACCGTAAGTTCAATAAGAAAAAGACAATGTGAGTGAGGGCTGTTGGATTGGGAGGAAGTAAAACGACTCAATAATAGGAGAACCTCACTCAAGGAATGGCTATGGTGGGAACAATAAGCAAACCAGGAGGATAGGGGAGGACAGGATAGGAGGAGGCCTGAATTAGTGATTAAGTAATTATGACAAGGTCTGAGATGTGGCTGTGGAAAGGGGTAGCTGAAGAGGAGCTGAACAGACAGCAGAAAATGGAGGATAAGAAATGGAGAGGTGAAGTGAAGTGTAGTCACCTAAACTGATGCCTGGATAGAAGGGAAAACATCCAGGGGCCAAAGGCTTCAATGAATGGGGGAGTGATTACATCAGCAGGAATATAGTGACTAGTGGGGGGAGAAAGTGGCAGTGAGGGAAGGAAGCCTCAGAAATAGGTTTTTAGAAGAAGGAGCGGTGGCTCACGCATGTAATCCCAACACTTTGGGAGGCAGGTGGATCACCTGAGGTCAGGAGTTCAAGACCTGCCTGACCAACATGATGAAACCCCATCTCTACTAAAAAAAAATAAAAAATTAGCTGGGCACAGTGGCACACACCAGCTGAAACAGAATTGCTTGAACGCAGGTGGCGGAGGTTGCAGTGAGCCAAGATCGCGCCACTGCACTCCAGCCTGTGCGACACAGCGAGACTCCATCTCAAAAAAAAAAAAAGGAAAAGGTGAGGTAATAATCGCATCAAAGCAGCAAAGGAAAGCAAGAAGCCATCTAAGCCATGTTCATGACCCTAAGGCACAGTAGCCTGAAACAGCCGTCTCTCCGAAGCTGCTGACATTTGTTGTCTGGCATGCAGCCTTTATCCCCTTGCCACAGAGTAAGGTCTTCATAGGCCAAGGAGTAATCAAAGTCATCTGGTTTTTAGATGTCATTCTTTTGTTTTGTTTTGAAAAAGAGTCTCACTCTGTCTCCCAGGCTGGAGTGCAGTGGCGTGATCTTGGCTCACTGCAACCTCCGCCTCCCAGGTTCAAGCGATTCTACCTCAGCCTCCTGAGTCGCTGGGATTACAGGCGCCCGCCACCATGCCCAGCTGATTTTTGTATTTTTAGTAGTGACGGGGTTTCACCATGTTGGCCAGGCTGGTCTCAAACTCCTGGCCTCAGGTGATACACCTGTCTCAGCAATGTGCTGGGATTACAGGCGTGAGCCATCGCACCCGGCCAATGTTATTCTTCTGTAAACAAAAACGGTAACTATATTTTAGATGAAACAATGAGACGTGTACTTCTAAACCATATTAAACGAAGTAGGAACACAGGTGAAAGAGTGGTAACAATTCATTTTAAGTTTGGGGTTGGGGGCAGGGGTTTTAACAAAAAGCAAACCAATTCATCCCAGAGAATCCTTAGAAAATCTCAGCCATTGGAAGTATGAGGAACCATGGAGGCAGAGGTTAGCAAGGGGTGAAAACAGGATTGGCTTAAAGACTATAAAGAGCAATTATTAATACATCCCTCACCACATTCCCCACTTGACCGGCTGCAACTCCTCAGAGATGTGACTTAGAGATCAGGGCGAAGCACCAAATAAAATGGGGATGAAGTGAAATGAAGCCTTCATAACTAACAATGAAGCTTCCAGCGCCCACAGTGCCAGGGGCTGAGCTTCCACCACACAGGAAACTAACTGTTCCCAGATAGTGATGTTTGGGAATCCGGCCACTGGTTGATAAGCTTGCTGGAGCTTTCACAAAGCTTTTAAAAAAATGCCTTGCTCGAATCTAAGTCAACGGTGATGGATCGGGGATTTGGACATGTAGCAGGCAAAGACTGCAGCACACAAAATAAGAACTCTGAGACTGAGGAAACCAGGGAGGGAGGGAGCATAAAAGCAAAATCATCCAAAGCTTTAAAACCTTAGAAACAAGTTGTAACAAGAGGATGCTACAAAAAAGGAACATTCTGCAAACAAGAAAGTGCTCATAAAGTAAAAGCCAAAAATTTCAAAGTCAATTAGAGTTGGACGATTTTAAAATCTCCCCCAAAAGTAGCATAAGAGATGAATAATAGTAAAGAGGAAAAATTAGATGCTCAATTCAAAAGTTCCAAGATATGGAACAGAATCTCTAGAAAGAAAGAGAAAAAACTCATCTTTATTTTAGCAGATAAGAAAGTGAAGTAAAAGGATCAGAAATCAGAATAGCAAAACATTTTTCAACAGAAGTAAATCAAGAAAGAGACGGATCTTAGAAATAAAGGCCCAATGCTGGAGAGTGATTTTAAAAGAGATCCAGGCCAGGCGCGGTGGCTCACACCTGTAATCCCAGCACTTTGGGAGGCTGAGGCAGGCAGATCACGAGGTCAGGAGATGGAGACCATCCTGGCTAACACGGTGAAACCCCGTCTCTACTAAAAATACAAAAAATTAGTCGGGCGTGGTGGCGGGCGCCTGTGGTCCCAGCTATTCGGGAGGCTGAGGCAGGAGAATGGTGTGAACCCAGGAGGCAGAGCTTGCAGTGAGCTGAGATCGTGCCACTGCACTCCAGCATGGGCAACAAAGAGAGACTCCGTCTCAAAAAAATAAATAAAATTTAAAATAAAATAATTAAATTAAATTAAATTTAAATTAGAGAGACCCAGGAGGACACTCTGCAGTAATCTCAGAGGTCAACCAGTGTGGACCAGAGCAGAGGGAAGAGGACTCAGGAAGGGGACATTTCAAGGACTGGAGCTAGCTGGCCAGCTCAGACAGTGTCAACTGTAAATGAGAGACAAACCCAGGGTATGGGAGACATGGGGAGAGGTACCAAAGGAATTAAGCTAATGACCAAAGGAGCCATTATAATTGCCAAGAAAACAGAAAACTGTGTAAGAAGGTATCAGTGGACACCTTCTTGGCTCAGCAGTAAATGACATTTACACAGCCATGTAAATACCAATACCAATTTAATGAAAAGTGTGAAATAACCATGTTGAGCAAATGGTGCAGAGACTAAATGGGCTAAGTCTTTAACCCAATAGGGAGGCAGTCAATAATGTCTGTCTAATGTTAAATCAGAAGATGACATCATAGGCTGGGCATGGTGGCTCACACCTGTAATCCTAACACTCTGGGAGGCTGAGGTGGGAAGACTGCTTAAGGCCACGGGTTTGAGGCCAGCCTGGGCAACACTGCGGACCCCGTCTCTACAAAAAATAAAAAAAAAATTAGCCAGGCTTGGTGGCACATGCCTGCAGTCCCAGCTACTTGGGAAGCTGAGGTGGGAGGGTCACCTGAGCCTGGGAGTTTGAGGCTGCAGTGAGCTAGGACTGTACCACTGCACTCCAGTCTGAGCCACAGAGCGAGACCCTGTCTCAAAAAAACAAAAAAGAAAGAGAGATGGCAATATAAACACTTTTAAAATATGAAGTGAAGTCCAGAAGGAATAGCTGGAAGGTTAAAAACGGCTGCCTCTGGGAGCAAGAGGATGGTGAGAAGGCTTCTGCTGTCTGTGGTCATAAGACTTTTGACAGTATTTGAATTGGTTTTTAAACTCTGGGCAGATATCATTTTAGATGAAAGACAGAAATCAAAATACAAATAATTGGGTTTGGAATCAAGATCCATACCTCACCAGCGAAAAAGACGGTTCCTTGAATGTCTTCAGCAATGATATCGTAGGCCTCCCCACTTCCACCTGTCTTCACAAAACTGTATGCCATCTGGATCCATGGGTCTGTGCTCCACCGAGTGACAAAATACTTTGTGGGATCTGGGACCTCCTATGTCCAATAGAAAGGAATTATGAAGTAGGATCAAGAAGGGATGTAGATGGCAGGGCGCAGTGACTCATGCCTGTAGTCCCATCCCAGCACTTTGGGAGGCTAAGGCGGGTGGATCACAAGGTCAGGAGATCGAGACGATCCTGGCTAACACGGTGAAACCCCATCTCTACTAAAAATAGAAAAATTAGCCAGGCATGATGGCAGGCGCCTGTAGTCCCAGCTACTCGGGAGGCTGAGTCAGGAGAATGGCGTGAACCCAGGAGGCGGAGCTTGCAGTGAGCCGAGATCGCGCCACTGCACTCCAGCCTGGGCAACAGAGCCAGACTCCATCTCAAAAAAAAAAAAAAAAAAGAAGGGAGATAGACATGGTACAACCCAACTCATACATTTTGCCCCCTGTTTAGGACCTGAGTCTATTCCTGTATCATTCTGAAACAGTAGTTCTCAAGATGTTCCTCCTGCTGCCTTTAAATCTACCCAAGCCGGTATTTGTGTCTTATCCTCTCTTTCCTGCCCCACCCACACACAATTCCCTCACTTCTATACCTCCTCCTTCTGCCCGGGACACACTCTCCCTCTACTGGGGGCTATCACCCATGGCTAAGAGTTCGGGCCTTCCCTTTTCCATCGTGTGGTAGCAGAAAGGAGTCTCTGGCCCAAGAAGAAAAGGGAAGGATGGAGTCTCAGGATCACAGGTTGGAATTCTCAACAGGGTTCTCCACAAAACAGTGATACAAGGTTATGTTTCACATTCACTCAATTTAAAATACAGCAGTCCCCTCTTCCCCGCCAGGAATATGTTCCATGACCCGCAGGGGATGCCTGAAACCATGGATAGGACCAATACTATACACACTATGTTTTTTCCTATTCATACCTATGATAAAGTTTCATTTATACATTAGGTACAGAGATTAATGACAATAATAAAATAGAACAATTATAACGCTATACTGAAATAAAAGGTATGTGAACATGGCTCTGATAACAGAGATGACTCCTGAGTGACTAATGGACAGGCAATGTCTACAGTGTGGAGGTACTGGACACGCTCTTCAGAACGGTGCATGACTGAAAACTTATGAATCTATTTCTGGAATTTTCCATCAAATATTTTCAGACCTTGGTTGACCACAGTAACTGAAACCATGAAAGCAAAGCCTCGAGTAAGAGAGAGCGACTGTAATTTGTCAGCTGGCCTCCAACAAGCAACACGATAAACAATATTTCTATAGAAACGGTAAGCTAAGTTCCAAACAACTAATGTAAAAAACAAACTTCTGAACAAAAACCCCAAGCAAGGGATTGCATCATTAGATAGATCCTCTCATATAAAATTAGCAACAAGGCTGGCCATACAGTGGCTCACACCTGTAATCCCAGCACTTTAGGAGGCCGAGGTAGGCGGATCACTTGAGGTCAGGAGTTCAAGACCAGCCAGGCAAACATGGTGAAACCCTGTCTCTACCAAAAATACAAAAATTAGCTGGGTGTGGTGGAGCACACCCATAATCCCAGCCTACTCGGGAGGCTGAGGCAGGAGAATCGCTTGAACCCGGGAGGTGGAGGTTGCAGTGAGCCAAGATTGTGCCACTGCACTCCAGCCTGGGCGAAAGAGTGAGACTCTGTCTCAAAAATAAATAAATTAAAATGAAATAAAATAAGCAACATATCTGAATGCCCCTTTCTCTTTAACTTACATAACTTTTGAGTCATTTCACTTCTATTTCTGCTCCTTTATTTCAAAAAGATATAAGCCATGGCCATTTACAAATCTCCAGAGATGGTGAGATTTAGTACACTGGCAAACAAAGTATCCTGAGCTCCGTGGAGAAAAGAGACTATCTGCATGTGTGCGATATTAAAAAAAGCTGGCCAAGGCTCCTCTTAAAAGGAAAGCTGTAGTCAAAGCTTCTAGGGCTTCAGTAAATATAGAATCCACGTAGAAAATACCGAGCCTTTTATATCCTTACAAAAAAAAAAAAAAAGGGAAGTGTGTATGATGTGAGAAGAAAAAAAGGAAGGAAGACAATTGTGTAAAAAAAGGTACAGGGCACTGTTACAGGCAGAACCGTGTCTCCCTCAAATTCCCATGTGGACACCCTAACCCTCAGTGCCTCAGAATGTGACTGTATTTCGTCGCATGGTCTCCAATGGGTAATTACTTTAAAGTGAGGTCGCCGGGGTGAGCCTTAATCTAATCTGATTTGTGTCCTCATAAGAAGAGGAGATGAGGACACAGACACACACAGAGGGAAGCCCATGTGAGGACACAGGGAGAAGACAGCATCTACCAGCCAAACAGAGAGGACCCAGGAGAAACCAACCCTGCCGACACCTCGATCTCAGGCTTCCAGCCTCCAGAACTGTGAGGAATAAGTTTCTGTTGTCTAAGGCAGCCAGTCTGCGGTACTCTGTGATGACAGCCCTCACAGACTAATCTCAGTGCTGAGGTGGGCAGTGGGACTCTGAAAGAAAGAAGACTGTGGCCTCTGCCTTCCTTCCTGTGATTCTCAGTGACGCTGGCTGCTTGGGCTTCACACCTGCTCTGGATAGCAAGCACGGCTTGCCCCTTTCAAGGAGGGCTTCCTCTCTCTCACCTGCTCCTTGAACAGCTCCCGGAGCGTGGCCATGCACTGCTGCAGCACCTGTTTGTCATCCAGGGTCCTCACGGATGCGACAGCCTCCCCGGCAATCACAGACATCAGCACGCTGTGCTTCTTCTGGAGACATGAAAGGAAAAGCAGGAGGTCTGTGAGTGCTCAGCTCCCACAGATAAGGGCCTCTTTTTTTTGTTTTTTGTTTTGTTTTGTTTTAAATGAGACAGAGTTTTGCTCTGTCACCCAGGCTGGAGTGCAATGGTGCAATCTTGGCTCACTGCAACCTCTGCCTCCCAGGTTCAAGTGATTCTCCTGCCTCAGCCTCCAGAGTAGCTGGGATTACAGGCGTCTGCCACCATGCCCGGCTAACTTTTGTATTTTTAGTAGAGACAGGGTTTCACCATGTTGGCCAGACTGGTCTCAAACTCCTGACCTCAGGTGATCCACCCACCTCGGCCTCCCAAAGTGCTGGGATTACAGGCGTGAGCCACTGTACCCGGCCAAGAGCCTCACTCTCACAAGTTAAATGTCACTATTTCTGGCTGTCCCTTATCCGCACGTCACTCGCCAGTCCATTTTCCTCGCAAACACTCATTATTCATCCATCCACTCTATTGCTTCCTGCTGGAAAAGAAAAACACTAAGAAATGTAAATAGCAACTTTAAGGTTCCCTTGGCTGTTCACTAATTAAAGCTTGCTTCGGAAGAAGTAGAAAGAGATGGAGAAGGAAAATCTGCAGATAAAACAATGAAAAATAAAAAAACCTCAAATGGTAAAGAAAATCTGCCCTCGGCTCCTATGTGAAACCTTTTAAGACAAAGTTTCTTGAAACTGAAAGTCAGAAACAGCCATGATTCTTTCGTGTGGCAGTGACATGACGGCAGAGAAAGTGACCACCCCCGTCCAGCTCTGGGTATGCCATTCTCCTCTCTCCTTCCTTCCCTCAGCTCTCACATCTGCTGACACTCACACCCTCCCTCACCAATCATACACCCTTTCCCAGCTCCCTAGAGGACCCTCAGAGAGGAAGTTTCAAGCACCACTCATTGACTCTGATGTCTCCAACTTCACCTAAGAGGAATTCCCCCATAGCCTGAAATGACAGTTTCCACAAGCATCCAATTCATGTCCCAGGGAGCAACATGAGGACTTTAAGAAGACATGGCAAATACTGGGGCTCCTTTCCTATAGGAAAATGTCCAGTCCAAGTGTCCTCCCAGAATATAAACATAGACCCAGGGTCTCCATGATGTTCGTTAGTTCCTGAGCTTGATAGGTGAGTAATTATCACATCAAATTCTAAACTTTAAGACGGAAATTCAAACCACAGTTCACGAATGATTTTACCTGGGGATCCATGTCATAGAACACGGCAAAAAGCCCTCGCTTGCTGGCACTGGGAGGAACGTGACCAAAAAAGTCAGCCCCTTGTACTTTACTGTCCCAAAATCTATACGGAAATTGCAAGGCAATCTGCAAAGTGAGCAGAAGAAAGGTGGTTAGGTGTCTGTCGTCACAAAACCACAGGCAATATCTAAGCAGCAACCTGTAGCTCTACTCTAAAACAAAGACACTGCCCGAAAGAACAACCCCAAATACCGCTCTTTCCATTCTCCTCACCTCCTTTTTTCCCCCTGTGAACTCCTTGGTTGTTTTTTGTTTTGTTTTGTTTTTTGGGTTTTTTTTTTTTTTGAGACGGAGTTTCGCTCTTGTTGCCCAGCTGGGAGTGCAATGGAGCGATCTTGGCTCACTGCAGCCTCCACTTTCCGGTTTCGAGTGATTCTCCTGCCTCAGCATCCCAAGTAGCTGGGATTACAGGTGCACACCACCACGCCCAGCGAATTTTGTATTTTTAGTAGAGATGAGGTTTCACCATGTTGGTCAGGCTGGTCTTGAACTCCTGACCTCAGGTAATCCATCCTCCTCAGCCTTCCAAAGTGCTGGGATTACAGGCATGAGCCACTGTGCCCAGCCCAGCTCCTTGCTTTTGATGCCACTCAGTTCCATTCCCATGGATAATGGAACCCACTGGCAACCTAGAAGCTAGTCTGAAGATGCCCAGCATTCCTAAGACTCACTCCTGGGCGTATGTCCCTAAGTTAAACTCTCACTACTCATAGGTCTGTCAGAATCTGCTGCAGCACTGGCCCATTCTGCTACAGGAGATATTAAAGGCAGGAGAAATAAACCTCTGTCCTCACTGGGGCCAATGAGTGGAAAGCAGACAAGAAAGAAAGCAGAAGGGGGGAAAAAAGGGGATAAAAGAATTGCTTATACCAAATTCAAATTGTGAATAACAAGATTCTTTCTCCTAAAGTCAAAACTCACAGACCTCAGCCAGCTCTCCTCCTTTCGTTTTGATAATATTCTTCTGTGTTCTTCACGAACAATTACTCAAATGAAAAGGAAATCCTTGAGTTTTATTTGTATTTAGATAGTACCCACTACTTCTCCATATCAGAAGTTAACATCTATCATCTGACATTAATCTCTTTCTTGCTGAGGATGAGGTCATTTCAGTCACCTTTTCAATGATGCCTGCGCCTAAGCTGTTGATAGCCTTCATCTTCTTCTCTGACAACGGTGGATTAAACTGAATGGCACCTTTCTGTAGTAAAGCCAGTGGTACAGTGACTAATACCTGTGGAAAATAATTAACAGTTAACAAACAAACAGCAACAGAACCTCACACTACCACTACACTGGTATCAACAACCCATGCTGTTATACTGGCAAGAACAAGGGCTGCCATGTGCAACTGTGCAGGTTGCTCACTGCACAAGGGTGCCAATGCCTGGCTAAGCAGAAGTGGCAACCACAGGGAAGAGTGGGCAAAAAACGTCCTGATGGTGAATAATCATCTTAGATAAGAAGAGTCAGCAGAGGCCAGGTGCGGTGGCTCATGCCTGTAATCCCAGCACTTTGAGAGGCCGAGGCGGGTGGATCACCTGAGGTCAGGAGTTCAAGACCAGCCTGGCCAACATGGTGAAACCCTGTCTCTACAAAAATACAAAAATTAGCCAGGTGTGGTGGCAGGTGCCTGTAGTGCCAGATACTTGGGAAGCTGAGGCAGGAGAATCTCTTGAACCTGGAAGGCGGAGTTTGCAGTGAGCCGAGATCACGCCACTACACTCCAGCCTGGGCAACAGAGCGAGACTGTCTCAAAAAAAAAAAAAAAACAAAACCCCGAAAAGCAGTACTTGAGGAGGAAAGAGCCCTAACTATGGAGTCAGGAGAACTTTATGCATCATTCCTAATACATTCTACTGTGTGGCCAAGCCTGCCACTCATCTCTGCCATACATCTATAAAATGAAGGTAGTATCTGCCCCACTAACCTCTGAGAATCAGGGTGATGCTTTAAAACTAAAATTTACAAGATACATCAATATGCTTCATAAGTAGTGAAACACATCACAAACATTGGGAATTGGACATTTCTGGCTCCAGACCCCATTATCGTTGCTACAATCAGGACGCCATTACTACTACTGCCAGCTCCAGAATCATGCCACATACAGAACCACGTGCACCAGCAACATGCATGCCTTACGGCCTCCTTCTTGACTTGTGGTTACTGACTAAACCCTGCAACTTTCACGAACCCTGCTGCAGAAGAACCAAACACCTCCAGCATTGTGTGCTCTCAACAGAGGCAGCAGAAGGGAAGCGAAAGTCAACCTACACCTTCTACATCTCATGCAAGTGCATCAGATTGGCTGGGCTGGATGGATGTTTAGAAACCTGCTGTAGGGAGTTGGGGAAGAGTGTGTGTATTTGCTTTCTAATATCTGCAGTACAGGATGACACCCTAGGATCAGAGTGGAATGGAGTTGAAGACCAAGCACCCAATCTACCTGAGGCTTCAAAGATTTTGTATATTTGGCTTAACTCTCAATTCTAGGATCACAGGAAGTTCAGAGTTCTCTGATTTTGTCACTATTTTCTGCCACATGAAAATATTTTTATAAAGTATAAAATATGCTCTCTATCATCAAGAAGTTTATAATCTATTTATAGATAATTACCATGCAACCAAAAAAAATGAGGCAAACCACAACAAAAAACCAATTACTATCCAATTAAATTGCAAGAAAATAAATAAAATCTAGATTTTTTTCCCCTTTAAAGAGACAGGGTCTTGCTCTGTTGCCCCGGCTGGAGTGCAGTGGCATGATCACAGCTCACAGCAGCCTCAAACTCCTGTGCTCAAGTGATCCTCTTGCCTCAGCTTCTTGTAGTAGCTGGGACCATGGGTGTGCAGCACGATGCCCAGATAATTTTTTTATGTTTGGTAGAGACAGGGTCTCACCATGTTGCCCAGGCTGGTCTCAAACTCCTGGCCTCAAGCCATCTTCTCGCCTCAGCCTCCCGAAGTGCTGTGATTACAGGCATGAGCCACCCACGCCCACAAATCTAGATGTTTTCTTAATGACAAAATAGCACTGAAAAGCATAAGAACTTGAGTAGCCCAGGTGCAGTGGCTCACACCTATAATCCCAGCATTTTGGGAGGCTGAGGCAAGAGGATTGCTTAAGACCACGAGTTCAAGACCAGCCTGGACAACATAGGGAAACACTGTCTCTACAAAAAAAAAATTTTTAATTAGCTGAGTGTGGTGGCATGTGCTTGTGGTCCCAGTTACACAGGAGGCTGAGGTGGGAGCACTGCTCAAGCCCAGGAGTTCGAGGCTGCTGTGAGCTACAAGCTGCACCACTGCACTCCAGCTTGGGCAACAGAATAAGACCCTGTAAAACAAAAAAAAAAAAAAAAAAAAAAAAAAAAAAGAAAAGAAAGAGAAAAAAAAGAAAGAAAAGCCTTGGGTAAACAAATAGGCAAATGATATAAACACATCCTAGTAAGTAATAAAAGCGAGATGTCAATGGAAGCAGCCTAGACTGAGTTAGTCTGCTGGAGGTTCATCGGTCTATCACGTTGGGTTGAAAATTATTCTCTTACAAGTTTGGGGAAACTTCCAATGCAAACTGTGGTGCGTGCTAGCTACAATAAAAATATTTGTTTTAAACATTTCAAAGTGCAGCCTGAAGCTGTGCCCTAATTTCTCCAGAAGGCTGGAATACAAACACAGAAACGCACAAGTACTGGCCAGGGTCAGGCAGAGAGTAACAAAGCAGGGGAGTTAAAACCAGCTTGCTGTCCTGGACACCAAGAAGTGGAGCTACAGAACAGCAGAGGCTGAACTGTCGGGTGACTTGCAATTTTAAAAGGTAGTATTTTTAAACACTGTTTACCACCAGGCAAAACCTATTAAGAGCTTACAGAAAAGGTCACTGCAGACAAGGTTCTCAACCACGGCTGCACACTGGAATCACTTGAGAAGCTTTAAAAACATGACTAGCCGGGCATGGTGGTGCATGCCTGTAATCCCAGCTACTCGAGGGAGGCTCAGGTGAGAGGATCCCTTGAACCCAGTTGCTCGAGGCTACAGTGAGCTATGACTGTGCCACTGCACTCCAGCCTGGGCGACAGACTGAGACCCTGTCTCTGAAAAAAACAAACAAAAAAGCGAGGCCAATTCAACAAGAACGCATCAGGGTGGGGCTTTCCAGCCTTTCTTTGTAAGCGCCTCCCAGGTGGTTCCGACGTGCAGCCCGGGGATTGCTGCCCAAGATCTCCGAGTTGGTTAATGGCAGGAATAATGTTAGGATCCCCTGCCCCGACTAACTCATTCCCTAGACCTGTCTTTCCCATGTGACATGCAGTCCTTTACTTCTGTATGAAAATCAAGGACTATGAAATAAGTTTTAGATACCTGAAGTGTAGGAAGCATAGCTAGTCTAGGAACTAGTGATAGTTCATCAATTATATTTTTTCATAGTCACTTAAGATATAACTAAACTTAAATTTTCAAGGTTTACTAAATCCCCTCTACCCCAAGGAGGCACCTTTATTCTCCAATACTATAAATCTCAGTGTGATTTCAGGTATTTGATTCAGCAGTACCTTGTACTGTTCACCTACTATAAAGCTGTTTACAAAAAATTTAAGCCATATGAAAGTACTTCTGATAGTTTCAAGATTTCAAGATGAAAACAGAACTTTCCTGATCTGAAGAAGGATTCCGTGGTTTAAAAAAATGTGGAGAGCACAGAATAAAAGTAAAATAGATTTCTTTAATGCAGGACTTCTCAGAGCCTTTAATATACTTCTATTTGGGCGGAGCACAGTGGCTCACGCCTGTTACCCCAGCACTTTGGGAGGCCGAGGCGGGCGGATCATGAGGTCAGGAGATCGAGACCATCCTGGCTAACAGGGTGAAACCCCATCTCTACTAAAAAATACAAAAAAAAAAAAAAATTAGCCAGGCGTGATGGCGGGTGCCTGTAGTCCCAGCTACTTGGGAGGTTGAGGCAGGAGAATGGCGTGAACCCGGGAGGCGGAGCTTGCAGTGAGCCGAGTTTGCGCCACTGCACTCCAGCCTGGGTGACAGCACGAGACTCCATCTCAAAAAAAAAAAAAAAAAAAAAAAAAAAAAAAAAAATATATATATATATATATATATATACATACACATACTTCTATTTAACCCTATACAACTCCTATTTAATCCTAAAAGTAGAGTATCGTATACAATACTTCCCAAACTTACTTGGCCTTGCCTAACTTATTTGGCCAAGGAATTTTTTTTCTTGTTCAACTCTCAGGACTAATGTGCCCTAGAACTCACCTCAAGGAACACAATTCAGAATTCCATCTGCCATGAGTCTATACAGTGTTAGAGCAATGAAATCAGCTTTGCATATCTACATACAATTAAGTAGAGATACATAACTTACCAGAAATCCAACAAGGGTCCAGGCAGATTCCCAAAGGCAAACTCCTTGATAGGAAAGATTTGTCCTTCCCTCCAAGCCCCTGGCAGCAAAGGTTTCTACCCACCCTTGTACTGCCCTAGCTCTTACCTTTTGTGCAGAATACCCTGTGCCATCTGTAGTGGTAACCTGCACTTCATCTCCAGAATAATCAATACACTGCACCTGCTCAAAAAGCAATTATGAAAAAAAGTGAGGGATGGAACCACGTGATCCAGGATCCTTTCCGATTCTCATATTACATGAATTTACATCTCCAAGGCTAAGGGGAATCTTTTCCTGGCATTCAGAGATCTAAACAATTGTTATAGCTGAACTGAGGGAGTTAGAATTTATACTCTGTCAGAATATACAAAATAAACATTGTGTCGGAATATAGAAGATAGTTATAATATGGTGTGAAGGGAAATACAGTTAAGTAATCACCCCCATGATTACAATAACACACAATACAAATGCACTGAGACAAAGATTTGAAGGGAAAATTTTAAAGTGAAAATAACTGCACTGGGTTAGGAAAGTTGCGAAGCAATTTGAATACCTTCTTCTTAATAGAAATGCACTGGGGCCACTACGGTTTCCAAGCAGCAGCAGCTGCCTCACTGACATGGATAATGCTACACAGGCTACGAATGAGCCACAAAAGTACTTCTAGACCCTGGCTAAACACCAAAGCCAGCCCCATTCTCCTGCGTGAGCCGCATGCCCAGAACTTCACATCCTCCCCAAACAAGGCGAGCCAGAGCCTCCCAGCAGTTGATACTCACTGGAGATTTGAGTTGAATGTCAAGCCCTTCTGCCAGTTTTTCAATTATCACCGAGTACCCGGGAGTTAGCAGAGTGTGGTCACCAGCAAACTGGGCAAAGAATTCATTGTGGTCCCACGAGCGAGCAGATACCTGGGAAACAAGAGAGGTTGGGGACACAGCAGTGTAAATCCTTGTGCCTGTGCCTGAGAGCCAATATGAGGAGCTCCAGGTGGGAACAGCCACCAAGGCAGGAGGGCAGGGGACAGGCAGACCAGCCTAGGCAGAGACCACCACTGGGGGAGGAAATCTCGATAATTTTATTTGAGGAAAGTTTATTTGAGAACAAAAGGTCCATATGACTTGGACATGGGTACCACTCCTTGATAAAAATAGAAGCTGATTTTCTATATTGACAACTCTGGCAAAGTAGAATTCTATGAGGGTAAAACTGTATTTGATCAACATATATAAATATGCTATCTGTCCTCAACATGGAAGCTCTACAGAATAGAAACCCTGCACGATTTTGGAAAATAGCATGACTCCAATCACAATGCAGAACCAAGTGGAAATGGAGAGGTCCCAAAGGGGCCTCTGAAATCATCCGTGGAGTTCTATTCAAAATACAGAATACTGGGGTATTAAGTTCACAGTTGGTTAAATGAGTTAGGCAAGCTTAAATTTACTTTAACAAGGTAAACAGACCAGACTTGCAAGGATACTCTATTTTGGCTTCTCGAGAGCAGTGTTTCCGACTCCACGGTTCCACAGAAATGACCCAAGGCCCTCTGCAGAGGGCAGGGAAAGGACGGTAAAGAGACAAGTCCTGGTGCAGTGGCTCATGCCTGTAATTCCAGCATTTTGGGAGGCCGAGGCAGGAGGATCACTTGAGACCAGGAGTTCAAGACCAGACTAGGCAACATGGCAAGACCCCATCTCTACAAAAAATAAGAAAAACATAAGAGACCCTGATCTGATTCAGCCCAATAGCCCTCCTTCCTTTGGAGTGATTGATTTCTTTTTTCTCCCCCTAGACAGGGTCTCACTCTATCGCCCAGGCAGCAGTGTGGTAGCACCATCACAGCTAACTGCAGCTTTGAACTCCTGGGATCAAGCAATCCTCCCACCTCAGCCTCCCACTTAGCTGGGACTACAGGCACATGCCACTAAGCCCAGCTAATTTTTTGTATGTTTTGTAGAGACAGGATTTTGCCATGTTGCCCAGGATGGTCTTGAACTCCTGGGCTCAAACAATCCGCCTGTCTTGGCCTCTCAAAGTGCTGGGATTACAGAAGGGAGCCACTGCACCCAGCCTCTTCCTTTGTTTTTACGTATTGAGCTTCTTTCACAAGCATTATCTGAAGAAGAGTTTCTCTTGCTTAAAAAAAAAAAAAAAGTTTAAAAAACAACCAAAACCACTGTGGGGTTAATATGCTCAGAAGTCATGGTTTTCAAACTTTTAAGGAGAATCATTCTTTCCTGTTTATCGAAACCAGCTCAAATTCAATATTTAGACACACAAAACACACACACACATACACAAAAACAAGTATTTTATTTATTTATTTATTTTGAGACTCCAGGCTGGAGTGCAGTGGCGCGATCCCAGCTCACTACGACTTCCGCCTCCCAGGTTCAAGCGATTCCCCTGCCTCAGCCTCCCGAGTAGCTGGGACTACAGGTATGCGCCACCAGGCCTGGCTAATTTTTTGTATTTTAGTAGAGACAGGGTTTCACCATGTTGGCCAGGATGGTCTCGATCTCCTGACCTCATGATCTGCCCACCTCGGCCTCCCAAAGTGCTGGGATTACAGGCGTGAGCCACTGCGCCCGGCCTAAACCAAGTATTTTCAAAGCACACCTTTCACAAAACCCAAGCGCACCTGGTGAAGGTTGCTGCCACAGGCGTACTCCAGGTTACTGAGATGGAACTGAAGCACCTGTCCCTCCAGCTCACTGAATTGGATACCAGATTCCTTAATAAATGCCTTGTAGATTTCTTCTATCTTTTCTGTAATGGGAATGGATCAAAGCAGAAAAAAATAGCTTTAACAAGATTCTCCAATTCTTTCTCCTTTGCTTTCAACCTCTGTCACCCAGCAACACCCAAAACTTCCAAAGTCTTTTCCCAAGTAAAGTCAGAGGGGAAAAGATCTCTTGATAAGGTCCATTTCTCTCAGGAAGAGAAAGTTTATCTTTTTTTTTAATTTTATTATTATTATACTTTAAGTTTTAGGGTACATGTGCACAACCGGAAACAAAGCTATGTAAGTTCTATATCTTCAGAAACGTCTCAATTTCGCTTCGTTGAGAAGTGGTTTCCTCTTTTGCTCAAGATACAGAAAAACTGTCCCCACACATAGATGTACATGCACACACACAGAAGTTACCATTCTCTTTCTGGTCCTGCTGCCATCACCTTAAAGTCAATGCTTACAACATCTCACCTCAACTAAGAGACCTGTAACCTATTGGCTACAGTCTGTCCCAAACAAGAATATTCCATTATGGGCTTGTATCTTGTCAGCACTCCGCCTCCATATCTACAATTACTGGTTGCCTATGTAATAAATTCCCCAACCACAGCCAGGCAAAGCTAGCACATTTTAATCTTTCCAAAGGCAGCAGCTACGATCTGCCCACTCGCAGGCTCTGCTGTAATGCTTTGAATCTTTTTCCTGGTAAATTCCTACCCTGCAGGGTCTGCGACCTCCCACTCTCCCTCATGGGAATGCCTTCTCCCACCCAATCCCATCCATTCTTTATAGTCGGGCATCACCGGGCCGTGGCAAGCCCCCAGAATTTCTCCCTGTCATCAACTCCAGCCCTTACTTATCTGTCCCACTCAACCGGACCTTGTAACTATATGGACACAGCCCTGTGATATCATTTTTGTCTTACATTCCTTTATAGCAGGGCTGGAAGAGGGTTCTGGCTTGATGTCTGACTAATTCTAAGCATCTCAGTACAGGTTACTTCTTTACAACTGTTCCAGTGATGACAACCATCCAAAACATGTATCACAGACTCCACGTTTCTTTTTCTGGTGGTGTTTTCTTTTTCTTTTTTTTCCTGAGATAGGGTCTCACCATGTCACCCAGGCTGGAGTGCTGTGGTGCCATTCCGACTCACTGCAGCCTCAACTTCCGGGGCTCCAGCAATCGGCCTCCCAAGTAGCTGGGACTACAGGCGCCCGCCTCTATGCCCAGCTAATTTTTGAATTTTTAGTAGAGATGGGTTTCACCATGTTGCCCAGGCTGGTCTCAAACTCCTGAGCTCAAGAAATCTACCCACCTCAGCCTCCCGAAGTGCTGGGATTACAGGTGTAATCCCAAGTTTAACAGAGTGTCACACACTTCTCTGACTAGAAGCAGAACTGAGTATCAGTTACTTCAAATATTTTTTTTTTTAGAACAGCTCAAGGCTTTCATCAAAATGTTCAGTTCTTGCACTAGATTGTAACATGCGGATGCCCAAGAGGCCTCCAGATTTGTGCCTGTCTTTGTTGCTCCTAGACCCCTGGGCTTTGTGCCACTTTCTGTGACTTTTGTAGAAGTCCCATCCCCGCTTCCTGCTGTGCAGTTTCTACATTCCTGTTGGTTTTGTGGAGGCGGCGGGGAGAAAAACCAAGATTGCTAAGATAGTGTATAAACAGACTGAGAGAGGCCTCAATGTGATTTTTTTTTTTTTTTTTTGGAGACGGAGTTTCGCTTGTCATCAAGACTGAAGTGCAATGGCCTGATCTTGTCTCACTGCAACCTCTGCCTCCCAGGTTCAAGTGATTCTCCTGCCTCAGCATCCCAAATACCTGGGATTACAGGCATGCACCACCATGCTCGACTAATTTTTGTATTATTAGTAGAGACAGGGTTTCACCATGTTAGCCAGGCTGGTCTCGAACTCCTGAACTCAGGTGATCCACCCGCCTTGGCCTCCCAAAGTGCTGAGATTACAGGCGTTAGCCACCGCGCCCAGCACAGTGTGATTTTTATGTAAATAATATTTAAAACAGCTTTAGTGCACATGCTTTCTGAAATGAAATCTAGTCCCTTAGTATTTAGATTTGAGTTTCCCCAGCTTTGTGCTGGTAAGATGAGATCTCAGACAGCTAAGATACCAACAGGCAGGATATAACTATAGCCTTACACAGAGATGTGTGCACTACTATCAAAGCTTTTAAACAAGCTATTGATAAGATGAAATACCCACTTACACAGTAAGAATTGCTGAGCCTACCTTAACAACTTGGGTTTTTTATTTGTTTTGTTTGTGAGACAGTGTCTCACTATGTCACCCAAGCTGAGGTGCAGTGGCGAGATCACAGCTCACCACAGTCTCTAACTCCTGGACTTAAGCGATCCTCTCACCTCCTGAGTAGCTGGGACTACAGGCACACACCATCATGCCTGGCCTACAGCTTGTTCTAGGTAAGGGTAAGGCAAAGCATTATCATTAAACATTTTTATATGGTGACTCTGAAAGACATGTAATGAAAACTCCAGCCAGTGACTGCAACACAGGTACAAAACACTAACCAAGTCCTGAGAATATCCTGCACGTCAGCCTAATAACTGTTCTCAACTCCAGGAAATTTAACAACTTACGAATTAGTCTGGACACTACAACATTTGATTAAATGATCCCTGTTGACGAGAGTATATTTCTGAAAATGTTCTCTTGTAGTATATCAGTCAAAACTTACTAAGGACGATTACAGCATAGGTCTCCTAGAGGTGGTGGGTTGCCACAGGAGAGGGGAAGGGAAAAGAGAAAAAGAAGAGATACATAGTCCCTGCTACTAAGAAGTTTACCCCAAACAGAGATGAACTGTATATCAGCCTGAAGAATTGAGAGCTCTTGCAAAGAAACATACAGTTGAAGCAAATTAACACCTTGCAAACTGAGTTCCAATGTTCACACTACAAGAAACTCCAACATGCCTCCAAGAACTACAAGTGAATACATTCAGGTCACAAAATTGTAGGCCAAATAAATATCAATTTAAGAAGCAATACAGTAAAATTTAAGCTGGCACCCTCGTGAAAATGAGCCACTATGGATGGTCAAGTTTTCTAAATAGTTGTGGCTAATATTGCCCATTTAAGTACAAAAGCCAAAAGATTTTGAATTAAAATTCCTTTTTTTTTTGAAATAGGGTCTTGCTTCATTGCCCAGGCTGGAGTGCAGTGGTGGGATCATAGCTCACTGGAACCTTAACCTCCTCAGCTCAAAGCTATCCTTCCACCTCAGCCTCCCGAGTAGCTGGGACTACAGACACACACCACCATGCTTGCCCCCCGCCCTTTTTTTTTGTAGACACAAGGCTCACTATGTTGCCCAGGCTGGTCTTGAACTCCTGGACTCAAGTGATCTTCCCCGCTTGACCTCCCAAATGTTCGGATTACAGGTGTGAGCCACTGTGCCTAATGGGTTAAAATTCTTAAACTGTAATACTCTTGCATTCTTAAAATATACTGGAAAAAACCTTAACTCACTGCTCAACAAAAAGAAATCCTGGCACACACAAACCCTTACCTAGAAAAGACATTACAGGGTGATGATTTATCACACAGGGCTTACCACATGTTCCCATAAAAGTAAGCTACTCTGGGAAATTTAAAATTAAACACGTAGGTAATTTTGTAAAACACCAGCTATTGTGTAAAGTAAGGTCTGTGTGTGTGTGTGTACACAACACAAGCATCTAAGCCTCCCTACAAAAAGTTCTCCTCCCCTGAGAACTTGGAGAATCCATCAGTCCAAAAGAAATGCTCAGGAGGGCTACCCTGTTGCCGACATCCGACCTCGCAAATGAACAATGCCACTGCTGATGAAGCTTAGGTAACAACGAAACTGAGATGGAACAATCAGAACACCGTTCTCCCCATACCTCCTAAAGGGACATCTTGGAGCTGAGTCTTATCCTTTCTCCACTCAGAGACAACATCCAAGAGAGCATTAAAATGAAAATCCATGCGCTTGTCAATAGTGGGGTCAGTTATTCTTCCACCTTCCTGAATTAAGTCACATCTTTCTCCAAATTTATGCATGCTGATGCCAAGCTTCAAAATAATAAGAATAAGAAGGTGAAAATTTTCCCTGGAAAAAAATATTTACAGGTTCTAAGCTGAAAATCAGACAGAGCTCTCATGGAGAAAATGGTCTCATATCTCTCAAAAATAAAGCTAAATATGCTTCACGGGGAATGGCAGCAAAGTCAGGCAGTGAAAAAAAACAGCATGAAATCTACAAGATTTTATTTGATGAGAATGTGAGAGGGGCAGCAACAGCTCCTACGCCATGCCCATTGTAACTTTTTGGCTAATGTTTCAGATGCTAGACACTGCCTGTCCTTGCTCAAACATTCTGTCTCCTCTGTGGACCCTCATGTAAATGAACACACAAACACACAAACACTCATAGCAGAAGTTGAAATTGAATTGACCATCAATAAACATTTCAGAAAAAGTCTTGGGCCTACCAACTCTTCAAATAAACTCTCTATGACTGCCAGATTAAAGACAGGCTGCCTCCTTAAATATGATGTTCAGATTAGTAATACATAATTTTTTTAAGTATAAGTATGTCCCAAATATTGCATGTAAAATATCCCATGTAATACTGGGAAATACTTGGGTAAAAAATTACTTGTTTATCTGAAAATGAAATTTAATTGAGAATTCTGGATTTTTATATGCTAAATCTGGCAACTCTAAAATTATGAGATAACCAAGTGGCCTGCAAAGAACAAGGAAATAAAATTAAATAGCTTAGAAAAAGGAAAAAAAGTATTTTACATCCTCTAGTTCTACCTTCTCAGAAAGGCAGAAGTGTAATTCTTACTGCTTTGCATAGGAGATGAGGGGGCTGTTATATGTAATTTACTTTAGAAGCATATTAATACTGCACACAAGCAAATTGAAACTGTTTTTCTTTCCTTTATCTACAACACAAAGCTAAAAGAAACTCACTTGTTCACACATTAATGCTACTGGGTTGTTAATACACCCATTGACAATCTGAGCTCCTCTTCCCACTGTGACGCCTTTAAAAGATTTATCATCCCAGACTCGGCCTCCAATTCTGTCTTTGGCTTCCAGGACAGTCACCTAAAAAGACAGACAGTCAGGGAAGCTAAATAGGACACAAGAGTTATATCAGACACAGTATTATAAAAATGTAGAAGGACACTGTTAAATAGCCTCTATATTTGGTTAATTCCAAATATTTCTAAAAAAACAACTTTAAAAAGCAGGCAGTGTGAAGAGAAGCCAAAATAGATGTTCAAAACAATCCATCTAGACTCTAGCGAGGAAAAACTGAGTGGTCTGTTGAAAGAATCACTCAAACCAGATACTAAGATTTGATGAACTAGGCCAGATGCGATAGCTCATGCCTGTAATACCAGCACTTTGGGAGGCCGAGGCAGGAGGATCACATGAGGCCAAGAGTTTGTGACCAGTTTGGCCAACATGGTGAAACCCTGTCTCTACCAGAAATACATAGTCGGGTGTGGTGGCATGCACCTGTAATCCCAGCTATTCAGGTGGCTGAGGCACGAGAATCACCTGAACCCTGGAGGTGGAGGCTGCAGGGAGCAGAGATTGTGCCACTGCACTCCAGCCTGGGCAACAGAGTGAGACCTTGTCTCAAAAAACAAAAAGATTTAATGAACTAGTACATGAAATGTACTTTGAAAGCTTTTTATAAAATAGTATTCCATAAGAAGCAGTTAAAAACTTCTTTAGGTGATTTTTCCTAAGAAATATCTACATAGCAAAATTCCTTTAGGACTGCAAATAAGCTTTAACTTCCCTAAGATATATTATTTAAAAAAAAAAAAAAAAAGTATGCCACTCCATATAAATATTACTTCATGGGCTTGGCCTAATGAGGTCTGTCTCATACCCAGGCTATTTTATTGCCCCCAAATTTCTAATGCTGGTGGCATGAGAAGCTGCTCTTGGGTGCACAGGCAGCACGTCACCTGCAGCCCTGGATGCCTAGTGCCACATTCCCAGAGCTGCATTACCTGAAAATGTGAGTCCTATTCATCGCAGGGCCAGTCTTTCACTTCTGGATCTCTAGAAACTACTTGAAATTCTCAAGGAGAGGTTCCCCAAGTTAACCATCTTTCAGGCTACTCAGAGGAATCTATTTCCCTCCCATGGCGGGAATGGAGGGTCTCCTGGGTATCTCCCCCATCACTTGGGGATGGGGCGGAAAGGAATATTGATTCTCCAAACTGCTTTCTCAAACTTACATTCTTCACTTTCTCTAACTAGGAAGGCTGCACCTTGTAGTTCTACCCTCTTTCTCTGACAGAACCATCCATTTCTAGTTTTTGTTTGAGTTGGGGTCTCACTCTGTCACCCAGACTGGAGTGCGGTGGCTAGATCTCGGCTCACTGCAACCTCTGCCTCCTTCACTCAAGAGATCCTCCCACCTCAGCCTCTTGAATACCTGGGGCCACAGGTGCATACCACCATGCCCGGCTAATTTTCTGTTTTTTTCTTTTTTTTTTTTTTTTTTTTTTTTTCTGGTAGAGACAGGGTTTTGCCATGTTGCCCAGGCTGATCTCAAACTCCTGAGCTCAAGCGATCTCCTCACCTCGGCCTCCCAAAGTGCTGGGATTACAGGCACTGAGCCACTGTGCCCAGCCCATTTCTAGTTTTTTTTTTAGTATAAGAGGAAGGCTGAACATTAAAGACTAGCCTGCCTAGATTTTGGATTTTAATAACCTTCCTTGTAATATAATCTGTAGGTTTCCCAAGTAAAACTCAAATAACCTTGGCCCAAATATCTAATACTGAAATAAACAATCAACTGAAACATGTGCTAGGCCTGGAGCAGTGGGTCATGTCTGAAATGAGATTCAAAGGGCGTTTTGTTTTTTTTTTTTTTTTTTTTGAGATGGAGTCTCGCTCTGTCACCCAGGCTGGAGTGCAGTGGCGCAATCTTGGCTCACTGCAAGCTCCGCAAAGGGCGTTTTTGACGGGCATAAAAAAATTTAACTGGAGGCCGGGCACAGTGGCTCGCACCTGTAATCCCAGCACTTTGGGAGGCCAAGGCAGGCAGATCGCTTTAACTGAGGAGTTTGAGACCTGCCTTGCCAACATGGTGAAATCCCGTCTCTACCAAAAATACAAAAATTAGCCAGTCTCATAACACTGTCTCAAAATAAATAAATAGATTTAAAAAAAAAACTTAGAACTGAGTATTTCAGAAACTTTTTTACACAAGGAATAATGAATATCCATGCTACTATTTGCTGTCTCAAACTACTGCGGAAACGGGCTTTTTCTCATCATGTCTATTGTGCGAATAATAATCTGTCAAGAACTTCTACTTTGGCCAGGTGCAGTGGCTCACATCTGTAATCCCAGCACTTTGGGAGACCAAGGCAGGCAGATCACTTGAGGTCAGGAGTTCAAGACCGGCCTGGCCAACACGGTGAAACCCCACTCTACTAAAAATACAAAAATTCGCTGGGCATGATGGCACACATCTGTAATCCCAGCTTGAACCCAAGAGGCAGAGGTTGCGGTGAGCTGAGATCGCACTGCTGCACTCCAGCCTGGGCGACAGAGCAAGACTCTGTCTCAAAAAAAAAAAAAAAAAAGAATTTCTACTTTAATGCCAAGTTAGAATTTCTTCTGACTTGCTCATTAGAGTCTAAAATTATCTCCAAAGCTGTGAGAATTTCTATTTACCTTTTTCTTATGAAATCAATTTCAAGTTTTATAACTTTTCTAGGACCTAATATAAACATATAATGTATTTAGTATTCTTCACTAAAAATAGGAACTGGTTTCTAAATCTTAGAAATTTGGACCAAAAGGAGCAGTCAACCATCTGTTCTAACTCCATGTCCCCAAAATCCTACCTTAATTCCAAAGTTATGCAGTTGCCTAGCAGCTGCTAATCCTGCTGGACCAGCCCCGATAATGATGACTGATTTCTTAAAAAGAAAAGAAACAAAAGTCCAATTAGAGCAGATGATAACAACGTCCTGTTTTAGTTGTTCCGGAACTGCAGAGCAAATTCGTTCATTTACATTTCTTTGATGTCCTTAGAAAGTTATTTTCCTAAAGAATGTGGTGGCACTTGTCTTATTACTCCCTTCCCTTTTTCCCTACAATCTGGGGAAAGAGTGCTTGATATTCTCCTTTCAGGAGAAACACATTCTGCGAAAGCCTTGCTTCTGTTAAGTTTTATGGTGATAATGTGGCTTTTACTATATTTATTAACAGCAACAGACTAGCGTTTGTCCTGATCAATGGCAAGGCTATCGCTAAAGCTATAATCACCTACATTGTGGTAGTCCTTAGGGAGAAGATACTGGTCGGCTCCCACGCTGAGAACTCCAGTGTTGATGAGACCTTTTCTGGTCATAAAATACAGTATTCTCTCCACTTCCTGAACGCATCGAATACGCACGAGACCCCGGACGATGATGTGAGGAATACATTTCTGAGGAGTAAGAGCTTCCTGTGTTTGGAAATAAAACCAAACTGCTTTTTTAAAAAAGTCCCAAGAAATTCAAACAATAGCAGGAAAACAATCCATTTAAAAGACAAGTAAAAGATCTGAATCAACATTTCTCAAAGGCAGATGCTCAAATGGCCAACAGGTACAGTCCTCCCTGGTTTCCAGGAGGAGATTGGTTCTAGAATCCTCCTGAGAAGACCAAAATCCATAGATTCTCAAGTCCCTTATGTAAAATGACATAATATTTACATATAATCTACGCAGACTCCAGCATGCTTTACGCTACCTCTAGATTACTTATAATACCTAATACAATGTAAATGCTATGTAAATAGTTGTTACATAATATTGTGTAGGAAATAATGACAAGGAAAGTCTGTATAGTGTTTAGTAGAGATGCCACCATCCATTTTTTTTCCCAAATATTTTCAAGATGTGGAACCCAAAGGTACAAAAGTCCAAGTATATATGAAAAACTCCTCACCATCACTAATCATCAAGGAAATGCAAATTAAAGCCACAATGAAAATCACCTCACACCTGTTAAAATGGCTATTATCAAAGAAGACAAAAGGTAACAAATGATGAAGAGAAAAAAGAACCCTTATTCACTGTTGGTGGAATGTACATTAGTACAGTCATTATGGAAGACAGTACGGAGGTGTCTCAAAAAACTAAAAAATAAAACTACCATACGATCCAGCAACCCCCACTGCAGGGTAGTCAAATAAAATGAATCAGCACGTCAAAGAGAGATGTGCACTCCCATGTTCATTGCAGCATTATCACAACTGCCATGATATGGAATCAACCTGGAGTCCACTGATGGATGAATAAAGAAAATGTGCTATATCCACACAATGGAATACTATTCAGCCTTAAAAGAAAAAAAGGAAATCCTGTCATTTGCAACAACATGGTTGAACCAGAAGCACATTATGTTAAGTGAAATAAACCAGACACAGACAAATACTGCATGATCTCACATACACATGTGGAATCTAAAAACACCCAACTCACAGAAGCAGAAAGTAGAATGGGCATTACCGGGGCTGAGGGGAGGGGGAATAGCGGGGAGATGTTGGTCAAAGGATAAAAAATTTCAGTTTAGACAAGAGGAATAATTTCAGGAGATCCATTTTACAACATGGTAACTACAACATATAGTTAATAACAATGTATTATATACTTGAATATCATGGAGAGAGTTTTAAGTTATCAGAGACAAAAAAGGTAACTATATGATGTAAGGCATACGTTAATTAGGTCAATTTAGCTATTCCACAATGTATACATATTTTCTTTCTCTTTTTTTTTTTTTTTGATATGGAGTTTCACTCTGTCACCAGGCTGGAGTGCAGTGGCACAATCTCGGCTCACTGCAACCTCTGCCTCCCGGGTTCAAATGATTTTCCTGCCTCAGCCTCCCAAGTAGCTGGGACTACAGGCGCCTACCACCAAGCCCGGCTAATTTTTTGTATTTTTAGTAGAGACAGGGTTTCACCACATTGGCCAGGCTGGTCTCAAACTTCTGACCTCAGGTAATCCACCCGCCTCGACCTCCCAAAGTGCTGGGACTACAGGCGTGAGCCACCGTGCCCGGCCACAACATACATATATGTATTTCAAAACATCAGATTGTACACGATAAATAAATACAATGTTTAAATTTCTCAATTTAAAAGGCAAACCAATTAATGTTTGAAACTTTTTTTGGTTCCTCAAAAGGTTAAACCTAAAATACCATATGACCCAGTAATTCCAATCCTTAGTATATACCAAAAAGAACTGAAAACAGATGTTCAAACAAAATGTTCACAGCAGCAGTATTCAAATAGGGAAAAGGTGGAAACAATTCAAAGCCCATCAGTGGACGAATGGACAAACAAAATGTGATATGAACAATGAAATATTATTCAGCTATAAAAGTGAGTGAAGTTCTGACGTGCTACAACATGGATAAACCTTGAAAACATTATGCCAAGCAAAAGAAGCCAGTCATAAAAGGCCACATATTATATGCTTCCATTTACTGGAAATATCTATTACAGGCAAATCTATACAGATAGAGAGTAGATTCGTGGTTGCCAGGGGCTGAGAGCAGGAGAAAATGAGAAGAGACTGTTTAATTGGTATAGGGTTCCCTCTTGGGATAATGAAAAAGTTCTGGAACTAGATAGTGGTGATGGTTATACATTATATATGTATTTAATGCCACTGAGCTGTAAATTTCACAATGGTTAAGATGGAATAGGGCTAGGCACGGTGGCTCATGCCTGTAATCCCACCACTTTGGGAGGCTGAGGCAGGAGGAGCAATCACTTGAGCCCAAAACTTGGAGACCAGCCTGTGCAACATAGCAAGACCTTGTCTCCATTTAAAAAAAATAAGAAGGAAAAAAATATGGTAAATTTTATGTTATGTGTATTTAACCACAATAATTTAAAAAAAAATTCTCCAGGTTATTCAAATCCATCACTTATCACTAAGACAGTAAGAACAAAGGGAGGTTTGCCCAGTGGGGAAAAAGAAGGAGACAACAGGAAAATATAGCAATTTACACTTTATCGTGTCGGTTTTCCCTGAGCAAGAACGACTGCAGCAGGTGCATGGCGGCAGAGCACATCACACTCCTGAGTCAACAAAGGCCACTACAGAAATCCAGGCTGCTGATCCTACTGACCACAGAAAAAGCTGGATTCTTGTGACTGACAAGATGGTTGGGGGGATGGGGGAACCAGCACGGTGGCTCACGCCTTTACAGCACGTAATCCCAGCACTTTGGAGGCCAAGGCGGGTGGATCACCTGAGGTCAGGAGTTCGAGACCAGCCTGGCCAACATGGTTGAAACCCCATCTCTACTAAAAATACAAGAAATTTAGCCAGGCGTGGTAGTGCACGCCTGTAATCCCAGCACTTTGGGAGGCTGAGGCAGGTGGATCACTTGAGGTCAGGAGTTAAGAGACCAGCCTGGCCAACATGGTGAAACCCTGTCTCTACTAAAAACACAAAAAAATTAGCCGGGTTTGGTGGCGCACACCTGTAATCCCAGCTACTCAGGAGGCTGAGGCAGGAGAATCGCTTGAACCCAGGAGGCGGAGATTGCGGTGAGCTGAGATCGCATCATTGCACTCCAGCCTGGGCAACAAGAGTGAAACTCTGTCTTAAAAAAAAAAAAAAGACACTGTCTTTCTCTGCTCACCCAGCCTTGGCATGACCTTGATCTGTTTCAAAGACTCAAGAGTAATGATGCCACCACCTCCACCCAGTGTCAGGAAGCAAGAACAGGCACCAAGCAGCTCCCATCCCAGGCCTCTCCTCTGCTCCTTGTCACCAACCCCCCAGCTCCACCAGAACCAAATATTCAAGAAATAACACATACAACACTGGCTTGGATTGCTGCAGAAGATAATACATTTGTTTGTATTCATGAAGTTTAAAAAAAATCATTTCAAGGCCAGGTGTGGTGGCTCATGCCTGTAATTCCAGCACTTTGGGAGGCCAAGCCAGGAGGATTGTTTAAGCCCAGAAGTTTGAGAACAGCCTGGGCAACACAGCAAGACCTCATCTCTAAAAAAAAAAATTAGCTGGGCATGGTGGCACGTGCCTGTGGTCCCAACTACTCAGAAGACTAAGATGGGAGAATCACCTGAGACTGGGAAGGCGAGGCTGCTGTAGTGAGCTGTGATGGTGCCACTGTACTCCAGCCTGGGCAACAGAACAAGTCTGTGTCTCAAAAAAAAAAAAAAAAAAAAAAAGAAAGCACACATTTCAAAGTCTTTGATTCTTTTAAAGCCAATATATTTATGTTTTCCCACTATAGTATTAAGTATATAAATTCTTTTTTTTTTTTTTTTTTTTTAGACAGAGTTTCGTTCTTGTTGCCCAGGCTGGAGTGCAATGGTGTGATCTCAGCTCACTGCAGCCTCCTCCTCCTGGGTTCAAGCGATTCTCCTGCCTCAGCCTCCCAAGTGGCTGGGATTAAAGGCCACCCAGCACCACCTCCAGCTAATTATTTGTATTTTTAGTAGAGACGGGGTTTTGCCATGTTGGCCAGGCTGGTCTCAAACTCCTGACCTCATGTAATCCACCCAACTGGGCCTCCTAAAGTGCTGGGATTACAGGCGTGAGCCACCGCGCCCAGCCGGTATACACAATAAATTGTATCTTATGAAAAACTAAAATAGATCCAGGTAAGCTTAGGACTTCTATAATATTCTTCCCCTGTATAAGTCAAATTTCAAAGTCAAACAGAAAGAAATGTGACCAAAAAAAAAAATGAATCCAAGGTGTTTCTCTGTTGTATTTTTTTTTTTTTGAGACGGGATCTCACTATCTTGCCCAGGCTGGTCTTGAACTCCTAGGCACAAGCGATCCTCCTGCCTCAGTGTCCCAAGTAGCTGGGACTACAGGGCCACACCACCACTCTTTATAATTTACTTATAGGAAACTCTGACCACAATTTTGTTCAGTTTGGTTTACTGAGCACCTATCTCAAGGCTACTGGGCGGAAAATAAGTTGCACAGCCTACTCAGCTGGCTACCTCGCACAGCCTACTCACCTGGCTATAATTCATATAGTTGCATTAACAGCCATAACTTAATCAGGTTATGTCATTTCATTCTGGATTCTAATCCAGTGAAATGCCAAGGTGAAACTGGCATATCTTTCTTTAGTCAAGATCACTTTGGCAGTCTTGCACAATGTTCTGAATTCAGCAATGACGCAAACTGCTGATTAAATTAATAAATCAGAAAAATGCTAGGGTCAAGAGAATCTCTGTGGGTTTTTTTGGAAACAGGGTCTCATTCTGTCACCCAAGCTAGAGTGCAGTGGCACAATCACGGCTTACTGCAGCCTTGACCTCCCAAGCTCAGGCCATCCTCCTGTCTCAGCCTCCTAAGTAGCTAGGACTATGGGCATGTGCCACCACACATGGCTAATTTTTTAATTTTTTGTAGAGATGGGGGGGTCTCATTATGTTGCCCAGGCTGGTCTTGAACTCCTAGGCTCAAGCGATCCTCCTGCCTCAGCCTCCCAAAGTGCTGGAATTACAGACACAAGCCACTTCACCCAGCCCCTTTGTTTTTTGTTTTTAGCTAGTATTCCCATTCTGCCCCATAATTTATTTTCACCTTTTTCAAGGTGGGTACAGTGTGACAGCCCTAACATGTATTTAGACCCAACAGAAGAAATGTACTGGTCTTGGTTGATTTAGGATGCCGAGGTGAATAAAAATTCCTGTCCTCAAGGATTTGTATGTAATTCAATCTTTGATGTTTTTCCCTCCTGCCATTGCCATTGGAACTCTTTGGACCAAACCTTGCACCTTATACTCACCACTGGAGAGTCAGCATTCTGACTATGTGTGGTCTAAAGTGGTGGTTTTCAACAAGGGGTGATTCTGTCCCCATTTGGAAATGTCTATAGACGTATTTGGTTTTCACAGGTGGGAAGCATTACTGGAATCTAGTGGGTAGAAGCCAGGGATCTTGCTAAATATCCTACAGTGCAAAGACAGTCCCCACCACAAAGAATTATCTGCCCAAATTGTCAACAGAGGCACGGCTGAGAAACCCTGGCATAAAAGGTTCCATCCCCAGATGAAGTATCCCCTCCTTTTCAACATGGTCCTCCTCTGTCCAGTGCTATTGGCTAACATGCCCTTACTTACTTTGCAGTTAGTATACCACAGTGCGAGGATGAGGTTTCTCAAAGCCAGGTACATGGTGGGGTCTCGGGAATACTCTGGAAACTCATAGAGCTCATCCAGTTCCATCACATCCGGCCTCACACAGAGGGCTTTGCCACACTCATTGGGCTGGTAGAAAGGCTGGAAGTATCGGTTCATGCCTGGAACTGATAGGTAACACAAATGGGCAACTCCTACAAGCTGTAACTTCCAAATCCAGAAGAATTAAAGGGCAAAAGCAAACCAAAAAGTAAGCCTAGACAAGCTCCACTCTCTACCCTACATAAATACCTTTGCTTCCTCCACCCAGTTAGACAAAACGTACATAAATTAAGTATTTTTCTCATTCTTTCTTCATGCTATTCTCAACTTTAATTTCCATAGCATGGAAAAATTATTTTATTTTTAACTGTGGTAAAAAAATGCATACCATAAAATTTATCATCTTAATTTTTTTTTTTTTTGAGACAGAGTCTTGCTCTGTTGCCCAGGCTGGAGTGCAGTGGTCCAATCTCGGCTTACTGCGACCTCCATCTCCTGGGTCCAAGTGATTCTCATGCCTCAGCTTCTTGAGTAGCTGGGATTACAGGTGCTCGCCACCACATCTGGCTAATTTTTCTATTTTTAGTAGCTATGGGTTTCACTATGTTGGCCAAGCTGGTTTCAAGGTACTGGCCTCAAGTGATCTGCCAACCTCAGCCTCCCAAAGTGCTGGGATTACAGGCATGAGCTACCATGCCCAGCTATCTTTTTTTTCTTTTTAAGATGGAGTCTCACTCTGTCGCCCTGGCTGGAGTTCAGTGGCGCGATCTCGGCTCGCTGCAAGCTCCGCCTCCCGGGTTCACACCATTCTCCTGCCTCAGCCTCCCGAGTAGCTGGGACTACAGGCGCCCGCCACCATGCCCAGCTAATTTTTTTTTTTTTTTTGTATTTTTAGTAGAGACGGGGTTTTACTGTGTTAGCCAGGATGGTCTTGATCTCCTGACCTCGTGATCCACCTGCCTCAGCCTCCCAAAGTGCAGGGATTACAGGCGTGAGCCACTGCGCCCGGCCTTCTTATCTGTTTTTAAGTGTACAGTTCAGTAGTGTTAAGTACATTCATGCTGCTGTGCACAGATCTCTAGAACTTTCTCATCTTGTAAGACAAATTCTATATCCACTGAATGCCCACTCCTCATGGAGGTACGTTTTTAAAATAACTTTTTTTTTTTCTCGAGACAGAGTCTTGTTCTGTCACCCAGGCTGGAGTGTAATGGCACAATCTCAGCTCACTGCAACCTCCGCCTCCCAGGTTCAAGTGATTCTCCTTCCTCACCCTCCCCAGTAGCAGGGATTACAGGCACATACCACACACCTGGCTAATTTTTTGTGTATTTTTTTTTAGTAGAGACGGAGTTTCACCATTTTGGCCAGGCTGATCTCAAACTCTTGACCTCATGATCTGCCCGTCTCGGCCTCCCAAAGTGCTGGGATTACAGGTGTGAGCCACTGTGCCCGGCCTAAAATAACTCTTATGGCATTTTTCTGACTATAAAATGAATAGGTTCATAGAAGTAAATAACAATCACTAACCCCTGATTATGTCAGTAGTGGAGTTACATTTAGAGGTACACTTTATCCTTATTTCTGTGTCTATTAACAGAGAATATTCACATAATAGATATTTGCCTTCATGAAACTGAAAAAAATGTTATGAAAGTGCCGTTTTCTAACCTGCTTTTTAATGTGTACAATACCATGAATACTTTCCTGTGTCACTAAATATGCATTCAATGGCTGTATATTTTCTTATTACTTAACCATTTCCCTATTGCTAGGCATTACATTTCATCCAATTACTTCACTATTACAAGCAATGTGAAAAGAAATTTCTTTGTACCTATCTTTGGATTTACATTTGATTAGCTGTTTAAGATAAATTCCTAGAAATAGCACTGCTGGGTCAAAGAGTGTCTGTTTAAAAGTTTTTGATGCACACTGCCAAATCTTCCTTCGTAAACATACACTCTCCCTAACAGCAGTCAAATGCCTCTTCATCGCATCTTCATTAACCCTGGGAATTACCACTTTAGCTTTGATTTCCACCACATCTATATTCCAGTGTTATTGGTAAACAACAACAACAACAAAACCTTAAGATAGGACCACAGTGCAAAAATCTATTTGCATAATCAAAAATGCCATTTGTTCCTGTCCAGGCGTAGGAAATCCAGAATTCTTGCTTCTTACACCAAGAATTCTAATGTAGATTTTTAAAGATGCCTTTAAAGTAAATAATCAGGCCGGGTGCACTGGCTCATGTCTGTAATCCCAGCACTTTGGGAGGCTGAAGGGGGCGGATCACTTGAGGTCAGAAGTTCGAGACCAGCCTGGGCAACATGATGAAACCCCATCTCTACTAAAAATATAAAAATTAGCCAGGTGTGGTAGCATGCGCTTGTAATCCCAGCTACTCGGGAGACTGAGGCAGGAGAATCGCTTGAACCTGGGAGGAGGAGGTTGCAGGGAGCCAAGATCACGCCACTGCACTCCAGCCTGGGTGACAGACTGAGATTCTGTCTCAAAAAGAAAAAAAAAAAAAAATTAACCAGCTGTAGTGGCACGTGCTTGGAGTCCCAGCTACTCAGGAGACTGAGGCAGGAGAATTGCTTGAACCCAGGAGCTGGAGGATGCAGTGAGCTGAGATAGTGTCACTGCACTACAGTCTGGGCAACAGAGTGAGACTCCATCTCAAAAAATAAAATAAAATAAAAAATAAAGTAAATAATCAAAAGTATGCCTGCTCTGCAGTTTTTTTGAGAGTAGGTGATTTCGCTGGGATCACCAGTGGCAATAATTAGAGGCAGAAAGACTCAGAAGAAAAAGGACTGCTCATATAGTTGAAAACCTTTTCCCAGTAAGTCAGAGTTCATGTTATCATTAAACAAGACAGCAATCCAACTTCCAAATAAATACTCATTAAGTCCTGTAGGTAATTCATGAGTGTTGCAGGTTTTCCAAACTACTGAGGAAAAATTAACCACACACTATACACAAATGATGTGACTGATCCACAGTACAACCATTTCCATGAAATAATGAGGGGCTTTATATCATAGGTCGCATACATTTTTAAAAATAATTTTTATCTATTTATTTATTTTTAGAGACGAGATCTCGCTATGTTGCCCAGACCGGTCTCAAACTCCTGGCCTCAAGGGACCCTCCTGCCTCGGCCACCCAAAGTGCTGGGATTACAGGCATGAGCCACTGTGCCCAGCCTGCACATTTAAAAAAAATCCTTTGCGTTTTGCTCACTCACACGTTCCTCAGGGAGGGGAGCGGGGAATAGAAAGCAGGGAGTCCCAGGAATGGCTCTCACCGTGCACGGAGAGGGCAGCCTTGGAGTGCTCCAGCTTCCCAGGGCTGGCATTGCCAGTGGCAGCGGCGCGGTTTGTGCTGGTGCAGGAGGGGCTCATGCCAACACAGTCAGGGTAGTAGGCAGACAGCAGGGGCGCTGCCACACTGTCTTTCAGCAAAGGAGGTAGGATGAGCATAGAGTACCACCAATGGTTGGAAACTTCCAATACTCTCTGCAATGGGCCAGACAGGAAGAAGAGAGACAAGGACAGACAAGAAATGTACATGCAGATTCTGCCAGGGACAGAGGGTTCTCTTCGTTTCACTTGTCCTTAACCCGCTATGCTTTTTCTTGCTCAGACTTAACAATTCTATTCCAGAGCTCTACACACACAGATGTAGAAACAAAAATGGGCTGATAACACCTGGCAAGAATGTCTCCCAGACAGAATTCTTTCTGACATATGGCAACAGCCTCCCTTATCCCTCCCCCAAAATAAGCTCCCCAATGCCAGGTGAGTCTGAAAGCTGTGCCCATTTACTAGATCGCAAGCCTAGGTTTAAGTCTGATGTGAAAAATGCATCTCTGCTCAGTAATCATCTATCATTCAAGCCCCCCGCCTTTAACTTAGGACCTCAAGATAGTTAAAATTGGGAAACTGGGCATAAAAAATAATGCTCCCAAGTAGTAAGTATTACCGCTTTTTGCCAAAGGCTACTAAAAAACTTTCAGAGGGAAAAGTACACTGCAAACATCAAAATAAGACGCCAAATGTAGAACTGAACAAAAGCAGTTATTTTCAGTCTTCAAATACGTGATACTGTTCCAGAGTTGACTTAACATGGAGTCATCAAATCAGAGCCTTCTCATGATGACTACTGAAATAAAAAGAAAGTCTATGTGGCTTCCAAAGCAACACTGCCACAATCCATGGTAGACAGGCTTTTCTAAATGCAATCTGACACTTATGCTCCAGGAATTCGGGGAAAAAAAAAATGTCTATTCTGGAGCCTGGAAAAAAAATGTGTGTGTGTGTGTGTGTGTGTGTGTACACACACACACATATATACATACTGATATGGTTTGGCTGGGTCCCCACTCAAATCTCATCTTGAATTGTAGTTCCTATAATCCCCATGTGTCATGGCAGGGAGCTGGTAGGAGGTAATTAAACCACAGGGGCAGTTACCCTCATGCTGTTCTTGTGATAATGAGTTCTCATGAGATCTGATGGTTTTACAAGGGGCTTTTCCCCCTTTGCTTGACACTTCTCCTTCCAGCCATCATGAAGGACACATTTGCTTCCTCTTCTGCCATGATTCTAAGTTTCCTGAGGCCTCCCCAGCCATGCAGAACTGTGAGTCAGTTAACCCTCTTTCCTTCATAAATTACCTAGTCTCAGGCAGTTCTTTATAGCAAGCAGCGTGAGAACGGACTAATACACATGCAAACACCCTTTTATATAACAGAATGGATTTAAAGTAGATTTGCTAAAAGTCAATGCTGTCTTTGCCTGAAAAGCTATCGTAGTTCCTGAGTTTCAGACATCTAGAACAATCCAATCCTGAATCACTGAAAATCAGAATGACTCAGGATTCTAGAAACTCAAGAAACCCAAAATTTAAAAACCTCTTTTCTGAAACAGTCACCGAATCTGGTTACATGGTACACTGAAGTTTGTCAACTCAGGTAGCAAAGTCTTATGAAAACAGAGGAAATGTGACCAGCTTTGCCAGCTGGAAGTACTGCTCCCCCTGCCATATCTGCATGAGGACAGGACAAAGCCAACATGCTGAGGTCAGAATGCATAAGAACACTCCTGCAGCTGAATCCAGGCCAAGACGATCAAATTGTGGCCCTCTTGTGCTTTTCTTAGGAGGACTCAAGTGGAGAAAAGGTCACAAAGTCATCCTTGAAAAACAAGTACAGCAAGCCTGAGCCCTAGAGCAAGGCAGGAGAGCTGTGTCTTCCTCTTTGTTTCCTTTTAATGAAAAGCAACATAACTTTATTTTTATTTTTTAAGTTGGGGACAGGACTACCCATAATATCACTATTGCTAACATTTTCATAATATAGTTACCATGTTAGATTAAAAAGTCACTGATCAGCAACCAAAGAGAAAGAAATTCATGAAGCTGTTACTATCATTTCCTTGTAACACTTATCATCAAAGGCACAATTAACCCCAATCCACACCATCCGGAAATACTCACTAGATCCTCTGGGAGGGAACAATGATCTGAGGTCTCAGGCTACAAAAGAAAACCAAGTGTTAAATTAGGGTTGCTTATAAAATATAGTCTCAGGTATCCATTTATCTTCAATAAGATATCTCTTTTCACCTATCAGGCTGGCAAAGAAAAGCATTTTTATGAAACAATGTATAAATCAGAGTGTCTGGAGGCCTGGCTCTGTGGCTCACGCCTATAATCCCAGCACTTCGGGAGGTTGAGCAGCAGTTTGGGAGGTCAAGGTGGGTGGATCACCTAAGGTCAGGAGTTTGAGACCAGCCTGGCCAAAATAGTGAAAAACTGTCTCTACTAAAAATATAAAAATTAGCCAGGCATAGTGGCAGGTGCCTGTAATCTCAGCTACTGGAGAGGCTGAGGCAGGAGAATCACTGGGACCCGGAAAGTGGAGGTTGCAGTGAGCCGAGACTGCGCTACTGCGCTCCAGCCTGGGTAACAGAGCGAGACTCCATCTCAAAAAAAAAAAAAAAGTGAGAGTGTGGGGAGACAGGCACATGAGATCATAAGGATGTTCCTGGTGGAAAATAAAGGCATATAACAACCACGAAGGGCGGTGACAAAATACGAACATTTAAAATGCACAATCATTTGACATTATCTTTTAGAACTGAAAATACGTATGACACATCCAGCAATTCTAACTGGGTTATATTTTCCAGAGAGAGACTCTTGTATATCTGCACCAACAAAAGTATTACAAAATGTTCAAAGGAGCATTATTTGTATTCAAAAAAAGCTAGAAACTGGCCAGGCTCAGTGGCTCATGCCTATAATCCCAGCATTTTGGGAGGTCAAGGCAGGTGGATCGCTTGAGCCTAGGAGTTCAACACCAACCTGGGTAACACCCCCCATCTCTACAAAAATTGCAAAAATCAGCCAGGCTTGGTGGTGCATGCCTGTACTTCCAACTACTCGGGAGGCTGAAGTGGGAGGACTGATTGAGCCCAGGAGGTTGAGGCTGCAGTGAGCTGTGACAGCACCACTGCACTCCACCTGGACAAGAGACCTTGTCTTAAAAAAAAAAAAAAAAAAAAAAAAGGAAAAAAGCTAGAAACAACCCAAAGGTCATCAACAGTACAATGGACACTTAAATTGTATTATAGTCAAACAATGGCATGCTGCACAGCAATGAGAACAAACTATGACTACACATTACAACATGGACACATCTCACAATGTTGGGCAAAAGAAGTTAGAACAGGCCCCGTGCAGTGGCTCACACCTGTAATCCCAGCACTTTGGGAGGCTGAGGTGGGTGGATCACCTAAGGTCAGGAGTTCGAGACCAGCCTGGCCAACATGGTGAAACCTCGTCTCTACTAAAAATACAAAAATTAGCCGGGCATGGTGGTGCGCACCTGTAATCCCAGGTACTTGGGAGGCTCAGGCAGGAGAATCACTTGAACCTGGAAGGCGGAAGTTGGAGTGAGCCAAGATCGCAACACTGAACTCCAGCCTGGGCGACAAAGCGACACTCCGTCTCAAAAAAAAAAAAAAAAAAAGAAGCTAGAACAATCATAGTGTAGGATACCATTCATGTAAAACTTAAAAGCAAGCAAAAAAACAAAACAAAACAAAACTATATGATTGTAAGTCAGAAAAGTAGGTAGTTACTCTAGGGGAGCAAGGGTTAAAGACTGTGATTAAAAGTGACACGGGGCTTCTAAGGGGCTGGTGTGTGTTCTGTTACTTTCCTGGGAGCCAGCTAAATGAGTACTTGGCGAAAATTCATTGAGTTATGCATTTTGATTTGTGCGTCTTCTGTTTGTATATTTCACTAAGAAAAGTTGCCTAAATAAACAAGATTGTTAGACCATATGGCCTAGCAGTTCTAGTCCTTGGACTGTATTTCAAAGACATTCTTGTCCTTGTGCCAGGCAAGAATGCTCACAGTAGCATTTGTATGTAACAGCCAAAAACTAGAAACAGCCCTTATATTCATGAACACGAGAATACACACACCAAGGTAGGTTCACACAATGTAATTCTAATACTACTCTTTGGTATTAACACACCAAAGTCTTAGATGCATCAACATGGATGCATCTCCAAAACCTTAATGTTGAGCGAAAAGAGCAAGTTAAAGAGGAATATAAACAATTGTGATATAATTTGTAACCAGTATAAAAATATGCAAAACTTATGTTACTTAGGGTTTCAGAAATACGTATTAACCCTGTAACAAAAAGCAAAGGAGTAAGAAAGACAAAATTCAGGGCCCGGCGTGGTGGCTCACATCTGTAATCCCTGCATTTTGGGAGGCCGAGGTGGGTGGATCACCTGAGTTCAGGAGTTCGAGACAAGCCTGGCCAACGTGATGAAACCCCGTCTCTACTAAAAATACAAAAAATTAGTCAGGTGTGGTGGCGGGCACCAGCTACTCAGGAGGCTGAGGCAGGAGAATCGTTTGAACCTGGGAGGTGGAGGTTGCAATGAGCCGAGACTGCGCCATTGCACTCCAGCCTGGGTAATAAGAGCAAAACTCTGTCTCAAAAAAAAAAAAAAAAAAAAAAAAAACCCACAAAATTCAGGACATTGTTTACCCCTGCAAGGGAAGGAGAGGAAGCATAATAACTACTGAGGAGCACACTGGAGGGAGGGACAAAGCCACTGGGAGTGCTCTGTTTCTTCAACTGAGTAGTAGGGAGGCACACCAGTGTTTGCTTTCATTCTTTCCTCCTTACATATAAATTATAACTCTTTGTGTCTATAACTTATTTCACATTAAAACAATAGCATCTACCCTTTGATACAGAAATTTCATTTGTAGGAACTGATCTTACAAATATACTCAAAAATAGCACAGATAGAAAGCTTTTCACTAAAGCACAGTCAGGAACAGTAAATGTTTAAAAGTAACCTAAATGCCCTTCAATAGCACTAAATTAAACGCAGGACGTCTGTTCAGTGGACTACTTATTAGACAGCCATTGAAGAGAATGAAGGGCTAAGCACAGTGGCTCACACCTGTGATCCCAGCACTTTGGGAGACCAAGGTGGGAGGATCACTTGAGGCCAGGAGTTTGAGACCAGCCTGGGCAACATAGCAAGACCCTGTCACTACAAAAAAATTAAAAAAAAGTAGCTGTGCATGGTCGCGTGCCTGTGGTGAGAGGCTGAGTCAGGTGAGAATCACTTGAACTCAGGAGTTTGAGGCTGCACTGGGCTAAGAGGATGCCACTGTACTCCAGCCTGGGTGACAGAGCAAGACTCCGTCTCAAAAAAAAAAGAATGAAATAAAAATGAAGAGAAAGAAGAGCTCTTTATATACTTACATGGACACATCTTTTAAGACATATTAAATGAGAAACAGCAAAATCAAAAACAGTGTACAGAGTTGTCAATTGTTCTTTTTCATGTTATTCTACAAATAAACCTTCACTGACTTTCTCCTTAACAGCATACCACGCTGAAAACCAAAATTACTCAGGGTCAATATATATAATTTAAATTAATATTTCAAAAGTTCAGGTTGTGGAGAGTAATCGATTCATACTGGAACAATAAGATGAAGGGGTCTCAAAGGAGGGTGACTGGGGTTGGGGGAAGAGATTTGATATTATCCATAGAAATTGGAATTTAAAAAGACTATAAAGGCTTTAACTAAGGTGAGGTGAGAAGAAAAGTAGTTAAGTTTTCAAAAATGTAAGGAATCTGACACCTCTGAGGCCCTCCTGGAAAAAAATGCTTGATGTTAAAATACAGCCAGCCAGGTTTCAAATCAAAATAAAAAAATGGAACTATGGTAAAAGAAATTACAGAGAGCAGTAAATCTACATAAACATATAAGTCAGAGTAAACAATGGAGGGAATACAGTTATAGAAAATAATTAACAAAATCGCCAAGAAAACTAAACAAAAAACAAAACCATAACAAAAACTGGGAGAGAAGAAAAGGAAGTGTTATATAATTTATTTTTTCTGATTTCATAGCAGGGTGTTGACCAATATCAACTAAAATTGAAACATGAAGTTTGTTTTTTTTATTTTTTCAAGTTAGAGTGATTTCAACTTTTTTACTTTTCTTCTTGAAACAGGGTCTCACTGTGTCACTTAGGCTGGAGTGCAGTGGTGCCATCTTGGCTCACTGCAGCCTTGACCTCATGGGCTCAAGAGATCCTCCCACTTCAGTCTCCCAAGTAGCCGGGACTACAGGAGCGCGTCACCAGGCCCAGGTAATTTTTGTATTCTTTGTAGAGACAGGGTCTCGTCATGTTGCCCAGGCTGGTCTCAAACTCCTGCTTCAGCCTCCCAAAGGGCTGAAATTACAGGCATGAGCCACTGCGCCCAACTGATTCCCACTTCTTATTCTCATATTTTCTTAACCTTTTAGAGAGTTTTTAGAAACTTATTTCTTGGGATAAAGAAATATTTTATGTTCAACAATTTCTTATTTCACTTTGGCTTCCTTTTCTTATTTTAAATTGATGTTATATTAAACACAACCAACTTAGAAAAAAAAAGTGTGTGTAGTACTATTCCTTAACAGGAAGCTATCTGTCAATCAGGCCTTCTCCCTGTATACACACAGAGGTACACTATATAGATACTCTTGAATGAATCTCACTCAATGATGGTTAATTCACAATGAAGACTGCATGAATTTTTTTCTGCTATCTTTGTTCTTTTCTATATTGCTGGAATTTTTCAATAATGAACATGTATCATTTGTCTAAAAGTGTTCTACAGAAAACCTTCGAGTTTTCAAAAACTACTTAGAGAAATTAAAAGTGACAACCACCACCCAAGAAAAAATTTAAAAAACAAAAAGCAAGGCATAATTTAAACAATTAGTAAAGTCAAAGTTGTCCACTCAATTGTCAGCAAGTAAAAGAGAGGTGAGATTACGGATCACTCCAATTACAGTTTAGTCAAAGCACAGAACAAAATGTAAAAATCACAGCTAGAGTGGCCGGGAGCAGTGGCTCACGCCTGTAATCCCAGCACTTTGAGAGGCCAAGACAGGTGGATCACCTGAGATCAGGAGTTCGAGACCAGCCTGGCCAACATGGTGAAACTCCGTCTCTACTAAAAATACACAAATTAGCTGGGCGTGGTGGTGAGCACCTGCAGTTCCAGCTACTCGGGAGGCTGACGTGGGAGAATCGCTTGAACCTGGGAGGCAGAGGCTGGAGTAGGCCTAGATGGTGTCACCGCACTCCAGCCTGGGCAATAGAACAAGACTCCTTCTCAAACAAAACAAAACCACAACAACAAAATCACAGCTAGTATTGATTAATGTAGTATTACACAAATCATCCAAAATCTTAAAAAATTGTCTGAAAAAACTTTTAGAATCATCGCATACCCAGGCTGAGTGAAAATGGCTCAAAAAGTAGAATCTATTAAAATAGTCTGCTATTTTTTATTGTTGCTTGGCTGAACTCTCCTTTAAATATTATAATGAAATGCCACTGAGTCAACTTTTCATTGTCAAGTAATCTGGGACACAGGTAGTTAAGTTTAGTGCAACCAAGATATTGTTCCTGCAAGCTGGACACGCTCCCCTCTGCCTGTTCATGGTATTTTCATTGCTCAGTTCCCAGCTCCCATCAGTGCAGCCACGCAGCCTGGAAATGAACTGCCCACGCCCTCATGTCAGCTCCTTCCCATTTTCTCTTTTCTCTTCCTCTTCTCAGAGAGGCCTTCAACTCTTAAAGTTGAGTTCCAGAATCAATCAAGGGCCTCACCCTGGGCAAGACAGCAAAACCCCGTCTCTATTAAAAAAAAAAAAAAATACAAAAATTAGTGAAGCACAGTGGCACACACCTGTAGTCCCAGCTACTCAGGAGACTACGGTGGCAGAATCACCTGAGCCCAGGAAGTAAAGGCTGCAGTAAACCAGGATTATGCCACTGTACTCTGGCCTGGGAGACAGAGTGAGACCCTGCCTTATGAAAAAAAAAAAAAAAAAAAAAAAAAAAAGGAAAAAAAACCAATGCTAAATTGAAAGATTTTGGAATAGCTCTTACCAATTTCAGGAATCTAATCCCAGGCTCAGGTCAATGCTTCCCCTCCCTCACTCTCAAATCACCAACATCAAGAATAAAAGAAAGGATACCGAGACAAAGCCCACCAACGTTAAAAGGAGAACAAGGGAACAGTACAAACAACTTTAAGTTAAAAATGTGACAACATAGATGAAAAAGACAAACTGCTTGAAAAACACAACCTTCCAAAATGGAAAGAAGTCATAAACCACCTAGATGGCCATATATCTGTTAAAGAAACTGAATTTGTAATTCCTAACTTTTTACAAAGAAAACTACTGGCCCAAATTGTTTCATTAGTGAATTCAACCAAACACAAAAAAAGAAGTAATATCAAACCTATACAACAAAATAGAAAAGAGGATATACTGCTCGTTTCACAGAGCCAGCATAACTCTGAAAGCAGAACCCGACAAGGTTATTACAAGAAAGGAAAGTAACAAAGTATCCAAGACAAACACAGATGCAAAAATCTTTAACAAAATTTAATCAAATCTGGGAATATATAAAAAGAACAATATATTAAAAACAAATGGATTTTTTTCCCCCAGGAATGCAACATTGATTCAACATTCCCAAATTGGTATAATTCATTACATTTGCTGATTAAAGAAGAAAATGCAATGGTCATCATAAAAGATGCAGGAAAACTATTAGCCAATATCTATTCATCATAAAAAGTTATCAGCAAATTAGGAAAAGAAAAGGAGACTGCTCCATCTCATAAAGAATGTCTACAAAGAGCTATAGCCAACACTGTATATGACGATACTGAACACATTCCTCCTGAAGTCAGGAACAAGGCAAGGTTGTCTGCTCTCATCACTTCTATAGAACACTATCACTGGTGGTCCTGACCAATGTAGTAAGGCAAGAAAAAGGGCAAAAAGACTGAGAAGAGGTTTGTAGACAATCATGATTATTTGTATGACTGATTTGCAGACAACCCAAAGGAATCTATGAAAAAGATCTATGAAACTTAGTAAGTGAAGTTAACAAAGTCTCTGGGTACAAGGCCAATATACAAGTCAATTGTGTTTCTATATAGTTGCAACAGTGCACAACTTGAAAATGGAGTTAAAAATAAATTTTATTGGCTGGGTGCAGTGGCTCACACCTATAATCCCAGCACTTTGGGAGGCCAAGGCAGGTAGATCACGAGGTCAGGAGTTCGAGACCAGCCTGGCCAACATGGGGAAGCCCTGTCTCTACTAAAATACAAAAAATTAGCCAGGCATGGTGATGTGTGCCTGTAGTCCCTGCTACTCGGGAGGCTGAGGCAGAAGAATTGCTTGAACCTGGGAGGCGGAGGTTGCAGTGAGCCGAGATCGTGCCATTGCACTTCAGCCTGGCGACAAAGCAAGACTCTGTTTCAAAAAATAAATAAATAATAAAAAATAGGCCGGGTGCGGTGGCTCATGCCTGTAATCCCAGCACTTTGGAAGGCCAAGGCAGGCAGATCACCTGAGTTCAGGAGTTCGAGACCAGCCTGGCCAATGTGGTGAAACCCCATCTCTACTAAAAATGTAAAAAAAATTAGCTGGGCGTGGTGGTGGGTGCCTGTAATCCCAGCTACTCAGGAGGCTGAGGCAGGAGAATTGCTTGAACCCAGGAGATGGTGGTTGCAGTGAGCCAATATGGTGCCACTGCACTCCAGCCTGGATGACAGAGTGAGACTCCGTCCAAAACAAAAAAATCAATCAATCAATCAATTTTATCTACAATTACAGGAAAAAAAATTAAGTATCTAGAAATAAATTGAACAAAGGCACAAAAGATATCCTCAGTGAATATTAGAAAACACTGTTGGGAGACATTAACCTCAAAAAGATGGAGACAGATACCATGCCCATGGGTCAGAAAAGGGGTCAGGAAACATTTTCTGTAAGGAACCACATAGTAAATATTCTGGGCTCTGTCGCAAATACTGTCATTGTAGCATAAAAGCAGCCAATACATAACAATGAGCATGGCTATGTCCCAATTAAAACTTTATTTACAAAACAGGTGTGGTACCAGGAGCAGGAATGAGCATGGCTATGTCCCAATTAAAACCATATTTACAAAACAGGTGTGGTGCCAGGTGCGGTGGCTAACGCCTGTAATCCCAGCACTTTGGGAGGCTGGGAAGGGAGGATCACTTGAGGCCAAGAGTTCAAGACCAGCCTGGGCAATAGAGCAAGACCCTGTCACTACAGAAAATTTTTAAAATTAAAAATAAATAAATAAATAAATAAATAGGTGTGGCCTCAAGGAACTAGAGAAACAGGAACAAACCAAACCCAAGCCCAGCAGAAGAAAGGAAATAACCGAGATCAGACAAGAACTAAATGAAATTGAAACAAAAAAAAATACAAAAGTTAAATGAAACAAAAAGCTGGTTCTTTGAAAAGATAAATAAAGTTGATAGACAATTAGCAAGATTAACCAAGAAAAGGAGAAAATCCAAATAACTTCATTAAGAAAAAAAAAGATATTACAACTGACACCACTGAAATACAAAAGATCATTCGAGGCTACTACTAACACTTTTACGCACATAATCTAGAAAACCTAGAAGACATGGACAAATTCCTGGAAAAATACAACCCTCCTAGCTTAAATCAGGAAGGATTAGATACCCTGAACAGGCCAATAACAAGTAGTGAGATTGAAATGGTAATTAAAAGATTACCAACAAAAAAAGTCCAGGACCAGATGGATTCACAGCAGAATTCTACCAGACATTTGAAGAATTGGTACCAATCCTTTTGACACTATTCCACAAGATAAAGAGGAACCCTCCCTAATTCATTTTATGAAGCCAGCATCACCCTAATACCAAAACCAGGAAAGGACATAACCAAAAACGAAAACTACAGACCAATATTCCTGATGAACATAGACGCTAACAAAATACTAGCTAATGTAGATGCTTAACAAAATACTAGCTAACTGAATCCAACAACATATCAAAAAGATAATCCACCATGATCAAGTGGGTTTCATACCAGGGATGTAGGGATGGTTTAACATATGCAAATCAATAAATGTGATATACCACATAAACAGAATTAAAAACAAAAATCACATGATCATCTCAATAGATGCAGAAAAAGCACTGGACAAAATCCAGCAACGCTTTATGATTAAAACTCTCAGCAAAATCGGCATACAAGGGACATACCTCAATGTAATAAAAGCCATCTATGACAAACCCACAGACAACATAATACTGAATGGGGAAGAGTTGAAAGCATTCCCTCTGAGACCTGGAACAAAACAAGGATGCCCAATCTCACCACTCCTCTTCAACATAGTACTAGAAGTCCTAGCCAGAGCAATCAGACAAGAGAAAGAGATAAAGGGCATCCAAATCGGTAAAGAGGAAGTCAAACTGTCACTGTTTGCTGATGATATGATCGTTTACCCCGAAAATCCTAAGGACTCTTCCAGAAGGCTCCTAGAACTGATAAAAGAAGTTAGCAAAGTTTCCAGATACAAGATTAATGTACACAGATCAGTAGCTCTTCTATACACCAACAGCGACCAAGCAGAGAGTCAAATCAAGAACTCAACCCCTTTACCAATAGCTGCAAAATAAAATAAAATACTTAGGAATAAACCTAACCAAGGAGTCTAAAGACCTCTACAAGGAAAACTACAAAACACTGCTGGAAGAAATCATAGACAACACAAACAAATGGATGCTCACGGATGGGTAGAATCAATGTTGTGAAAATGACCATATTGCCAAAAGCAATCTACAAGTTAAAAGCAATCCCCATCAAAATACTACTATCATTCATCACATAATTAGAAAAAATTCTAAAACTCATATGGAACCAAAAAAGAGCCCGCATAGCCAAAGCAAGACAAAGCAAAAGAATAAATCTGGAGGCATCACACTACCTGATTTCAAACTATACTATAAGGCCATAGTCACCAAAACAGCATGGTACTGGTATAAAAATAGGCACATAGACCAATGAAACAGAATAGAGAACCCAGAAATAAACCCAAATACTTAGAGCCAACTGATCTTCAACAAAGCAAACAAAAACATAAAGTGGGGAAAGGACACTCTTTACAACAAATGGTGCTGGGATAATTGGCTAGCCACATTTAGGGGAGGAAAACTGGATCCTCATATCTCACACAAAAATCAACTCAAGATGGATTAAGGACAAATCTAGGACCTGAAACTACAAAAATTCTAGAAGAAATACTAGAAAAACCTTTCTAGACACTTGCTTAGGCAAGGATTTCATGACCAAGAACCCAAATCCAAATACAATAAAAACAAAGATAAATAACTGGGACTTTAAAGAGCTTTTGCAAGGCAAAAGGAACAATCAGCAGAGTAAACAGACAACCCAGAGAGTGGGAGAAAATCTTCACAACCTATACATCTGACAAAGGACTACTATCCAGAATCTACAATGAACTCAAACAAATCATTAAGAGAAAAACAACCCCATCAAAAAGTGGGCTAAGGATATGAATAGACAATTCTCAAAGTAGATATATAAATGGCCAACAAACATATGAAAAAATGCTCAACATCACTAACGATTGGGGAAACGCAAGTCGAAACCACAATGTGATACCACCTTACTCCTGCAAGAATGGCCATAATAAAAATATCAAACCACAGTAGATGTTGGTGCGGATGCAGTGAACAGGGAACATTTCTATACTGCTGGTGGGAATGTAAACTAGTACAGCCACTATGGAAAACAGTGTGGAGATTCCTTAAAGAACTAAATGCAGAACTACCATTTGATCCAGCAATTCCACTACTGGGTATCCAGAGGAAAAGAAGTCATTATACAAAAAACATACTTCCATATGCATGTTTATAGCAGCACAGTTCACAATTGCAAAATTGTGGAACCCACCCAAATGCCCACCAATCAACAAGTGGATAAAGAAACTGCAGTGTGTGCGTATGTGTACATACATACATACACATATATATATGATGGACTACTACTCAGCCATGAAAAGGAATGAATTAACGGCATTTGCAGCAACCTGGATGAGATAGGAGACTATTATTCTAAGTGAAGTAACTCAGGAATGGAAAACCAAACACCATATGTTCTCACTGATATGTGGAAGCTAAGCTATGAGGACACAAAGGCATATGAATGACACAATGAACTTTGGGGACTTGGGGGGAAAAGTAGAAGGGGGGCTAGGGACAAACGGCTACAAACAGGGTGCAGTGTATACTGCTCGGGTGATGGGTGCACCAAATTTCACAAATCACCGCTAAAGAACTTATATAACCAAACACCACCTGTACCCCAATAACCTACAGAAAAATAAAAATAAATAAAAATAAATACGTATCAGCCAGATTTGGCCCATGAGCCATCATTTACCAACCCCTTAGAGGACTGAAAAATGTAAAGATGTCACTTCTCCAAATGACCCATAGATTCAATGCATTCCAATAAAAAACCCAGAGGCTTTTTATTGGATACTAAGAAGTTGATATTTACATGGAAATATAAGGGTCCTAGAATAGCCAAAACAATCTTGAAAACAAAAAAAAAGTTAGAAGAATGTATACTACCTGATTTTAAGACTTACTATACAGATACAATAATCATGACAGCAGAGCATTGGGTAAAAAACAGATTAATGCAACAGGGTCCAGAAACAGACTTACACACATACGGCCAATTGATTTTTTTATAATGGTGCTAAGATAGGGCCGGGCGCAGTGGCTCACGCCTGTAATCCCAACACTTTGGGAGGCCAAGGCAGGTGGATCACGAGGTCAGGAGTCCGAGACCAGCCTGGCCAACATGGTGAAACCCTCTCTTTACTAATAATACAAAAATTAGCCAGGTGTGGTGGTGTGTGCCTGTAGTCCCAGCTACTTGGGAGGCTGAGGCAGGAGAATCGCTTGAACCCGGGAGGCGGAGGTTGCAGTGAGCCGAGATCGAGCCACTGCACTCCAGCCTGGGCAACAGAGCAAGACTCCATCTAAAATAAAATAAAATAAAATAAAGCAATGGTGCTAAGATAATACAAAGTGAAAAATACAGTCTTTTTAGCAAACGGTAATGAACAACTAAATATCTGTATGGAAAAAATTGAATGTTGGCCTACCTCTCACATCAAAAACAAAAAAAAACTTGAGCTAGTGATCTAAAAGTAAAGATGAAAACTATAAGGCACCTCAAAGAAATCACAGAGTATGTTTACAAGGTGAAAGGTAACCAATGATTTCTCAGAAAAGACACAAAAAGTTCTAAGCATAAATGAAAAAGTGAATAAACTACACTTCAAAATGGAAAATTCCTCATAAAAGACCTATTCAGAAAATGAAAAGGCTTAACACAAACTGGGGGGAAAAAATATTCAAAATACATGGTTATATCCAGATTACATAAAGAACTACAAATCAATAAAACCCAATTTAAAAAAAACTTGATCAGACATTTTCCAAAGAGAAATGCATGGCCAATAAGCATATGAAAATATACTCAAGATCACCAGTTAGTAGGGAAATGCAAACTAACCCTACAATGATACTAGTACATACCCATTAGAATGGCTATAATTAAATTTTTTAAAAAAGAATAACACTACAAAATGTTGTAGTATGGTACAACCATGGAAAGACATTTGGTAGTTTTGCAAACATTAAACATAAATTTATGATATAACTCACTGATTACACTTTTTTTTTTTTTTTTGAGATGGAGTTTCACTCTTGTTGCCCAGGCTGGAGTGCAATGGCATGATCTCAGCTCACTGCAACCTCCACCTCCCGGGTTCAAGTGATTCTCCTACCTTAGCCTCCCGAGTAGCTGAGATTACAAGCACATGCCACCACACTGGGCTAATTTTTATATTTTTACTAGAGACAGGGTTTCAACATGTTGGCCAGGCTGGTCTTGAACTCCTGACCTCGGGTGATCCGCCCATCTCGGCCTCCCAAAGTGCTGGGATTACAGGTGTGAGCCACCGCGCCCAACCACTCCTAATATGTTTTTATTCATAAGAAACGAATAGGCCAGGCACAGAAAATAAACTATATAGTTTATTATAAATATAATGAAATAGAATATTATGTTTATATTTTGAATCCCAGGCTTTTACTGAATTCCAGGCGTTATAAAAATATGATGTTTATATTTTGAATCCCAGGTTGAATTTCTCTTATTTGAAATGCTTGGGACCAGAAGTGTTTTGGATTTTGGAATGTTTGCAACATACTTACTGGTTGGGCATCCCTAATCTGAAAATCTAAAATGCTCCAGTGAACATTTCCTTTGAGCAGAACCTCTGAGCATCATCTCAGAGCTCAAAAAGTTTCAGATTTTGGAACATTTCAGATTTTCAGACTAGGGTGCTCAACCTGCACCACAGCCACTCAATTGTATGCTTTAAAAGGGTGAATTTTATAATATGTGAATTTTATCTCAATTTCTAGAAACAAAGTATTTTACCTCTGAGATTAAAAGGATTCCTAATATTCTTTAATGTACTGCAGGTACCAGTGGCATTTGTGTAGACTAACACCCTTAACGCACTAAAGCAATAATAATAGGTTTTTAAACAGTAAGTAATTGCCAAATTTCAAAAAAGGCACATTATAACAACGATGGCCGATTCCTAATTGCCAAGCATATCAATTAATCTTTTCTTCCTCACTAATAGGATCCGGCTTTGTTTAGTGTTGCAACATCCTCAGTCGTAAAATATTTTCTTCCTCTGTCCTCACTATAGTTAGGGAAGCTGCATTTATGGTGTCAACATCATTATATAAAAACGAAACAAACCAAAACTAGCAAAAAAATTAAAACCAGAGTAGCTGCATGATCCTGTTCTCGCCAATGAGATATAAATAGAAATCTACTGAAGGAACTTCCAGGAAAGCTCCTGTTTCCCCCAGGAAAAGAGGGACAGGCTCAGCTGATACTCCCCTCTTGCCCTTTGACCTTTCCCCCTTTTCTGCTTAGGATTTGGACACATGACTGGTGGTATAGCAACTACCTTGTGGCCTTCAGGATGAAGTTAGACTACAGGTGGCTGGAGTGGAAGCTACAAAGAGATTTCCTTGGGCAACAAAACCAACCCTGGACAGCCTATGTCTTAACTGCTTACCTATGTCTTAACTGCTTATAATGACGGAAAAGTAAAATCCTTAATTGGTTAAGCCATTATAGTTGGGGTTCTATTACATGCATGCAAATACAACCTTGACAGAATGATCAACACAATACATGAAAAACATATACACCATTACTATTTACTGACTACATTAATATATCAATTAACTCAAAAGCAAAAAGAGAACATACCTTAATAGCAGTATTTGGTTTCATACCGCATCGATAAGTCTTGGCTATCTGTGGAGTAAGCTGGATTTCCTTGGTAAGCTGCCTCCATTTTCTACACTCAGGTTTTGTACACTGAACCTAGATGGGAAGTATCAAGTCAAGATGAACAAGTGAGCTAATCTTCAGTTACCATTTCTATCCTCCACCACTTGGTCATCTTCTCCAACCTGTTAGCAATCCTAAGTATTTTTTCTCCTCCTTGCATTACCATCATCCATATAATTCACTTTCACCCCATTAGGATAATTTCTGATTTAATACTTCCTCAGGGTGAGGAAAGTGCCAAGGGGATCTGAGTTTTGTTGTCAGAAAGGTTTTCTAGGCCAGGTGCAGTGGCTCACGCCTGTAATCCCAGCACTTTGGGAGGCCAAGGCGGGCGGATCACGAGGTCAGGAAATCCAGACCATCCTGGCTAACACGGTGAAACCCCGTCTCTACTAAAAATACAAAAAGTTAGCCAGGCGTGGTGGCGGGCGCCTGTAGTCCCAGCTACTCAGGAGGCTGAGGCAGGAGAATGGCATGAACCCGGGAGGCGAAGCTTGCAGTGAGCCGAGATCGCACCACTACACTCCAGCCTGGGCAACGGAGCAAGACTCCGTCTCAAAAAAAAGGAAAAAAAAAAGAGAAAGGTTTTCCAGCTCTAACCTAAAGAAACAATCAGGGCCAGGCATGGTGGCTCACACCTGTAATCTCAGCACTTTAGGAGGCTGAGGCAGGCAGACTGCTTGAGCCCAGGAGTTCCAGACTAGCCTGGGCAACATAGTGACATCCTGTCTCTACAAAAAATACAAAAGCAGACAGGTGCGGTGGTGCATGCCTGTAGTCCCAGCTACTCAGGAGGCTGAGGTGAGAGGATGGCTTGAGCCTGGGGAGGTCAAGGCTGCAGTGAGCTGAGATTATACCACTGCACTCCAGCCCGGGAAACAGACTGAGACCCTGTCTAAAAAAAAAAAATCAGCGTAAAATAAACTGAAATTTACTTTCAGTTAGTCAAAAAGCATGCATACTAAATGCAATGTGGTATGCTGCGTTGGATCCTAGAACAGTAAAAGAACATTAGTGAAGAAACTGATGAAATCCAAATAAAGTCTACAGTTATTAGTACTATGCCAAAGTTAATTTCTTACTTTGACAAATAATCATGGTATGTAAGATGACAACATTAAGGGAAGCTGCATGAAGGATATATGGAAACTCTCTGTACTATCTTAGCAACTCAGTAAATTTAAAATGATTCCAGACTTGGTGCAGTGTCTCACGCCTGCACTTTGGGAGGCTGAGGCAGGTGAATCACCTGAGGTCAGGAGCTCAAGACCAGCCTGGCCAACATGGTGAAACCCCATCTCTACTAAAAATATAAAAAAATTAGCTGGGCGTGGGGGTGCATGCCTGTAATCGCAGCTACTCAGGAGGCTGAGGCAGGAGAATCGCTTGAACTGGGAGGTGGAGGTTGCAGTGAGCTGAGATCGTACCAATGCACCCCAGCCTGGGCAACAGAGCAAGACTCTGTCTCAAAAAAATAAATAAATAAATAATTTTAAAAAGATGATTCCAAAATAAAGTTTATTTTTTAAAAGCATGCAGATATCCATATGCAAAAGAATGAAGTTAGACACCCTACTTTACACATATACAAATATTAATTCAAAATAGATAAAATAATACCTAAACGTAAGCACTCAAACAACAGAACTCTTAGAAAAGAAAGTAAACCTTTATGACCTTGAATTTGGCAACGAATTATAAGCGGTAACACCAAAAGCAACAAAAGAAAAAAACAGATAAATTGAACTTCCTCAAAATTAAAAACCTTTGGGCATCAATGGGCTCTACCAAAGGAAGACAACAACCTATAGGAAAAAATACTTGCAAATCATAGATCTAATAAGGGTTTAGTATCCAAAATATATAAAAAGGCCAGGCACGGTGGCTCACGCCTATAATCCCAGAACTTTGGGAAGCTGAGGCAGGCAGATGACCTGAGGTCAGCAGTTTGAGACCTGCCTGGCCAACATGGTGAAACCCCATCTCTACTAAAATTAGCCAGGTGTGGTGGCGGGTGCCTGTAATCCCAGCTACTTGGGAGGCTGAGGCAGAAGAATCACCTGAACCCAGAAGGCAAAGGTTGCAGTGAGCCAGAGATGGCACCATTGCACTGCAGCCTGGGTGACAAGAGCGAAACTCCATCTCAAAAAAAAAAAAAAAATTTATATATATATAATTCTTACAACTCAACTACAAAAAGACAACTTTAAAAAAGGCAAAGGAAGACTGGGCGAGGTGGCTCACATCTGTAATCCCAGCACTTTGGGACGCCGAGGCGAGCAGATCACCTGACATCAGGAGTTCGAGACCAGCCTGGCCAACATGATGAAACTCCGTCTCTACTAAAAATACAAAAATTAGCCCAGGGTGGTGGCACACACCTATAATCCCAGCTGCTCAGGTGGCAGAGGCAGGAGAATGGCTTGAACCCAGAAGGCAGAGGTTGCAGCGAGCCAAGATCGCACCACTGCACTCCAGCCTGGGTGACAGAGCAAGACTCCATCTCAAAGACGACAAAACAAAACAAAAATGGGCAAAGGATGTTAACAGATATTTCTCCAAAGATATACAAATGGACAACAAGCATACGAAAGGTTGCATTAGTCATTAGGGAAATGCAAATTAAAACCACCATGAGATACCACTTCAAACCCGTGGAAAAATCAGAACCCTCATATGCTACAGACAGGAATGAAAAATGGTACAGGAACTATGGAAAAGAGTTTGAGGTCCCATATAATTACCAAATATGATCTAGCAATTATATTTCTAGGTACATACCCAAGAATTGCAAGCAGGTAGTCAAACAAATACTTCTACAAGAATGTTCACTGCAGCACTATTCACAATTGCTAAACGCTTGAAATGATCTAGATGTCCATCAATAGATGAATGCTTAAAAAAACTGTGGCATATCCATTCAATGGAGTATTATTCACCCATAAAAAAGAATGAAGTACTGACACATCCTACAATGGATATGAATCTCAAAAACATTACATTAGGTGAAAAAGGTCAGATACAAAAGTTTACATGTTGCACGATTCCATTCATATGAAACATCCAAAATAGATAAATCCATAAACACAGAAAGCAGATTAGCGGTTACCAGGAACTGGGGGTAGCAAGAATTAGGGCTTCCCTTGTGCGTGATGAAAATACTTTGGAATTAGATAGGGGTGGTAATTGCATAACATTGTGAATATACTAAGTGCCACTGAACTGCACAATTTAAAATGGTTAATTTTATGTTATACGAATTTTACTTCAATGAAAAAATCTTTAAGCGTGCACAAAGCTCAGCATTACTTATAATATTTTTAAAATTAGCAAATTGGCCAGGTACAGTGGCTCACACCTGTAATCCTAACACTTTGAGAGGCTGAAGTGGGAGGATTGCTTGAGTCCAGTATTTGAGACCAGCCTGGGCAAGATATCGAGTCCTGTCTCTATAAAGAATTAACAAATTAGCTGGACATGGTGGTGCACTCTATAGTTCCAGCTGCTCTGCCGGCTGAGGTGGGAGGATCACTTGAGCCTGGGAGACCGAGGCTGCAGTGAGTCATAATCCCACAACTGCACTCTAGCCTGAACGACAGAGCAAGGCCCCATCTTAAAAAAAAATTGGGCATTGTGGCTCATGTCTGTAATCCCAGCACTGTGGGAGGCTGAGGCAGGTGGATCACTTGAGCCTAGGAATTTAAGACCAGCCTGGGCAACATGGTGAAACCCCATCTCTACAAAAAATACAAAAGTCAGCTGGGCGTGGTAGCATGTGCGGAGAGTCCCAGCTATTAGGGAGGCTGAGGTGGGAGAATCGCTTGAGCCCGGGAGGTGGAGGTTGTAGTGAGCTAAGATTGTGCCACTGCACTACAGCCTGGGCAACAGAGTGAGACCCTGTCTCAGAAAAAAAAAATAGCAAATCATTTATTAAATGGTGGTATATTTCAACAATATATGCAATAATGAAAATATATTTTCAAAGAATGACTAAATGAAAAAAGAATATGAGGTCAATTTAATTTTTTTTTTCTTTTTTTGAGACAGAGTCCCACTCTGTCACCAGGCTGGAGTGCAGTGGCACGATCTCAGCTCATTGCAACCTCCGCTTCCTGGGTTCAAGCGATTCTCCTGCCTCAGCCTCCCAAGTAGCTGGGACAACAGGCGCGCGCCACCACGCCCGGCTAATTTTTGTATTTTTTTAGTAGAGACGGGGTTTCCCCATGTTGGCCAGGATGGTCTTGATTTCTAGACCTTGTGATCTGCCCACCTCAGCCTCCCAAAGTGCTAGGATGACAGGTGTGAGCCACAGCCCTGGCCCAAATTAATTTTTAAAAAGCTAAACATTACAAAAATCGTATCTGAAGCCTGATTTTAAACCTAATCAGTATATGTATATAAAGCATGAAATTGTGTTTAAACAGACAAAAATATGAAAAGAAAAAAAGGATCAAAAAGCTATGTACCAAGCTCAGCAATGACTATCACCAGCTGGTGGTGAGCCTTTAGTTTTTTCTTTTTTAAAACCATTTTTTTTTTTTTGAGACAGCCTCTCACTCTGTCATCCAGGCTGGAGTGTAGTGGTGTAATCATAGCTCACTACAGCCTTGAACTCCTGAGCTCAAGCAATTCCCCAACCTCAACCTGATGAGTAGATGGGACTACAGACACCTGCCACCATTCTTGCCTACTTAAAAAAAAAATTTTTTTTTGTAAAGATGGGGTCTTACTATGAGATAGGGTCTCACTTTGCCCAGGCTGGGCGCAAAGCAGTCTTCCCACCTCAGCCTACCAAAGGGCTAGGATTACAAGTATGAGCCACCAAACCCAGCCTAGTTTCCTCTTTTATACTATGTTGAAATATCTCAGCTTTCTATAAAAATAAAAAATATTTGCTTTAATAGTCATAGAAGGAACAATAAATGTAATAGGAGATTTCCTAAACAGCATTTTCATCCATGCCTCTTGCATTTGGCTCCACAAATACTTCACAGACAGAGAGCATCACTCTCCTTACCCAGTAGGGGAGTTGCTGGTCTGCCATGAAAGCTTTGGGACTAGGTTCGGTTTTGCCATTGCTAGTCCATATTTTTTTCCATGTAGTATATTTGTCATATCCATCCTTATGGCTGAAAAACAAGAAAAATTAATATATCGATTAATATATCGATTGCTATAAGCAATCAGGTTTTTCAAAACAGGAGGCAGGTTAGTAAATCTTACGTAACAAACATAACTAGCCTTGTTATAAAAGTAGAGAAAGTTATTATGGCACCCATAAAACAGGCTGTCAGAAGGGGTATATTCTTGTCAGTTTTAGTATCTAAAACTAAGAAAGGCATAGTGTTATTTGAAAGAGAAATTAAATTTTTTTCTTTTTTTTCCCCTTGATACAGGGTGTTGCTATGTTGCTCAGGCTGGAGTACAGTGACTGTTCACAGCTGCAATCATGAATCATGGTGTGCTGCAACCTCGAACTCCCAAGCTCAAGCGATCCTTCTGCCTCAGGCTCCCAAGTAGCTGGAACCAGTTCCGAATATTTTTATTTTTTTATTATTTTTTTAAATTTCTTTTGAGATGGAGTCTCACTCTGTCACCCAGGCTGCAGCGCAATGGCACAATCTTGGCTCACTGCAACCTCCACCTCCTGGGTTCAAGGGATTCTTATGCCTCAACCTCCAAATAGCTGGGATTAAAGGCACCTGCCACCATGCCTGGCTAACTTTTGTATTTTTAGTAGAGATGGGGTTTCGTCATGTTGGCCAGGCTGGTCCCGAACTCCTAACCTCAAGAGATCTGCCCACCTCAACCTTCCAAAGTGCTGGGATTATAGGCGTGAGCCACTGCACCTAGCCTAGAATATTTTTTTAATGTATGTAGTAAATCCTAGGGCAGCCATTAAAAATTACATCAGTAGATGAAATACAATACAATCATAAAAATGCTCAATTAAAATCAGAGAAGGCGGCGGGGTACGGTGGCTCACGCCTGTAATCCCAGCACTTTGGGAGGCCAAGGCAGGCAGATCACCAGGTCAGGAGATCGAGACCATCCTGGCTAACACAGTGAAACCCCGTCTCTACTAAAAATACAAAAAATTAGCCAGGTGTGGTAGCGGGTGCCTGTAGTCCCAGCTACTTGGGAGGCTGAGGCAGAATGGTGTGAACTTGGGAGGCAGAGCTTGCAGTGAGCCGAGATTACGCCACTGCACTCCAGCCTGGGGGACAGAGTAAGATTCTGTCTCAAAAAAAAAAAAAAAAAAAAAAATCAGAGAAGGCAGAGGAAGGGGAAAAAGAATAAAATGCACCATATGGAAAACAGCTAGCAAGATATTTTAATCCAGTTATATCAACAATCACTTAAAACATGAATAGCATAAACATACAGATTAAAAGAGATTGTCAGTGGGATTACAAAAAAACTATAAGTGTAAATGAGAAATCTCCTCTAGGCCGGGCATGGAGCCTCACACCTGTAATCCCAGCACTTTGGGAGGACAAGGTGGGAGGATCACATGAGGCCAGGAGTTTGAGACCAGCCTGGCCAACATGGGGAAACCCAGCCTCTACTAAAAATACAAAAATTAGCTGGGCATGGTGGCGCACACCTGTAATCCCAGCTACTCAGGAGGCTGAGGCACGAGAATCACTTGAACCCAGGAGGCGGAAGTTGCAGTGAGCCAAGATCACGCCACTGCACTCCAGAGCAAGACCCTGTCTCAAAAGAAAAGAAAAGAAACCTACTCTAAATACAAAGACTCAGAAAGGTAAAAAGTAAAGAAACAAAGAAAGGTGTATCATGCTAACATTAAAAAAGCTGAGGCAGCCATATTTATGTGAATAATGAATATTATCAGGGATAAGACAAGGGATATTACACAAAGGGGTCAATTTTGAGAGAATCCACAACAATGTTAGATGTACAATGTTAACAACAGAGCTTAAAAATACATGACGGCCAGGCGTGGTGGCTCGAGCTACCACCAAAGTGCTATAATCCCAGCACTTTGGGAGGCTGAGGCAGGCAGATCACCCAAGGTCAGGAATTCAAGGCCAGCCATACCAACATGATGAAGTCCTGTCTCTATTAACAATACAAAAATCAGCCAGGTGCGGTAGTGCACGCCTGTAATCCCAGCTACTTGGAAGGCTAAGGCAGAAGAATGGCTTGAACTCAGGAGGTGGAAGTTACAGTGAGTCCAGATCGCACCACTGCACTCCAGCCTGGGCAACAGAGCGAGACTCCATCTCAAGAAAAAAAATACATGAGGTAAAAATATATAGAACTGAAAGGAAAAATAGACATATCTGCATTATAGTTGGAAATGTTAAGAGACAATTATAATTGCAGACTTTAAGACACTTTTCTTAGTAACTGAAAGATCAGGTAGGAGTAAATCAGAAAGATGTATGTATGTGTGTGTATATATATATATATATGACCTGAACTGCACTATCAATCAACTTGGTCTAGTTGACACTGATAGACCCACCTGACAATAGCAAAATACACATTTTTCTCCACTGCATGCAGGACATTTACCAAGATACACTACATTACGGGCCATAAAGCAAACTTTGACAAATTTAAAACGTAGAAATCATACAAAGTATATTCTCAGACCATTGCTGAACTAAACTAGAAATCAGTAACAGAAAAATTGCTGGAGGTGTCCCAAATATTTGTAAATTAAACAATTTACTTCTAAATAATCTATAGATCAAAAAGGAAAACTCAATGGAAATTTAAAAATATTTTGAACTAAATTAAAATAAAAGTTGTCAAAATTTGTGAAATATCACAACCTACTTGGACAGAAATTTATGGCATTTAAAAACGCATTTATTGGAAAAGAAGAAAGATCTAAAAATAAATAATTGAAGCTACTAATTTATGAAACTAGAGAAATAAAAAATTAAACCTAAAGCAAACACAAGTAAAAAATAAAAATTAGAGCACAAATGAAATCGAAAACAATAAAATAGAATCAACATCTCCTAGATGTTCCAGAACTTTGACTCAAGAAATAACTGTTTCGCTGGGTGCAGTGGCTCACGCCTGTAATCCCAGCACTTTGGGAGGCCAAGGCAGGCAGATCTTTTGAGCCCAGGAGTTTGAGACCAGCCTGGACAACATGGCGAGACCCCATCTCTATTAAGGAACCCAGAAGTTGGAGGTTGCAGTAAGCTGAAATTATGTCTCTACACTCCAGCCTAGGCAAGACTCTTGCCTCAAAAAAAAAAAAAAAAGAAATGGCAGATATTTTTTGATCCCTGAGTGTGCACACACACAAACATGCACACAAACTACAACATCAAAGTTCTCGTCCAAGTTACAGTCATCACAGGCATGGCTGAAAGAGCTGAATAATTCAGTAAGCCTCGAGACTAAGCTTTAATCAGCTGACCACACGCACTGCCCCTGCCACGGTCCCCTTCTCCAGGGAAACCTCACACAATTAGTGAACATACCTTCTGTAGTAATGGTCAAAGCATTCATTACAGAAATGTTCCCCACAGGAGAGATGATACCATCGGGAGGTGTAGCCATTTTTGGCACATCTGAAAATAGTGAAAAACATATAGCTTTGGTAATGAATAAACATTTCTCCTCCCATTTTTTAAAAAACATCTTGCAAGCACCATCTATGAACCCATTTTGCATTATCTCCACTTAGCCCCTTAAGGACAGGGGAAACAGGAATGGATTACTAGTAGATAATAACACACAGGAAGGATGCAGGGACTTAGGCCATGGGACCTAACCTAGCTGGCTGCCTGGGGCTTAGCAGTCTTAAGAAGACTCCTTGGGGCAATGATAGGGTTTTATGACACAAAAGGACAGATGCCACTGTGCTTGCTGCAGGCTGCATATGTGGACATGAGAGAATAACGTGGGGCCCAGTACTGAACAGCGAGGGAATCTGGTCAGCTGAAATCTGAACATCAAGCAGGCAATTTGGCAAAGATAACTTGTCAAACAGTTGATAATATAGCAAGAGAATGAAAAATCATGCCACTATGAACACGATCACCACGTCTTTGTGTTTATTTTTAATATTTTTTTATTTATTTGAGATGGAGTCTTGCTCTGTCACTCAGGCTGGAGTACAGTGGCACGATCTCAGGCTCATTGCAACCTCTGCCTCCTGGGTTCAAGCGATTCTCATGCCTCAGCCTCCTGAGTGGCTGGGATTACAGGCTTCTGCCACCGTGCCCAGCTAATTTGTGTATTTTTAGTAGAGACAGGGTTTCACCATGTTGGCCAGGCTGGTCTGGAACTCCTGACCTCAACTGATCCGCCCATCTTGGTCTCTCAAAGTGCTGGGATTACAGGCGCATGCCACCATGCCTGGCCCTCTTTGTGTTTAAAAACAAATAGGATTTGTTTTCTCGATTTTATTGAACCTTAACCCTTAATTGAATATTTTCCTCTGGAAGTAAAAAAGAAAAAAAAAAAGAAGATCATACTTGTGTCACCCCACAATAAAAATGGCAAGGCTGCAGTTAGCTGTAGTTTCTATGAGACCTGTATGTGCGTATGGGAAGAGGTGGCATGTTATATGAGAGAGAAAAACACAACGAAAAGTAAACAAACACTGGTGTCTACAGAAAGCTCATGAGTTCTCTCTACTGTCTCACCACGACATACACCATCCCACCCTCAACCCTTGGAGAGGTAGATATGGTTGGCTGGATTTGAGGACACTGTGTTGCAAAATTGACATGGGTGTGGCCTCTCCCAGTAGGCTAGGGATAAGTAGGGAGGGCCTTGAGGAGGGTGTGGTGTGTACAGAATGTCTGGGCAATGTCTCTATTATTAGATTAGATGACTTATAGTATCTGTATCTATCTTTAGGAAAACTATCTACAAGGATGATGTTTCCACAAAGAACTTCTCACAAGCAGAAATGGGAGGCCAAGACACACATCTAAACAGACCTTTCAGAAGCACTTGCAAAGCACACAGGACATGTTGCCGTACAGCCTGCCTTTTCACATTTCCTGTACTTCTTCTCTGAGCCACCATCTTCATCCTCATCTGTTGTCTCTGTTGCTTTCTTCTTCGCCTAAGGGAGTCACAGCTGATGTTAAAATTTCACTGATGATGGCAAAATGACTAAGGATGAAGGTTCACTACTGAAATCACAGCTGAGTTCTAAACATGAAGGTCAAAAACATCATGGCAGTAGGTTAGGGATGACAATACAGCAATTTCCTGGTGACTGCATTGTGCAAGTAATTTACTAACTTGCTAGAGATATAGAAATAGCATTTTAACAACAGATGTCTAAGCAAAGAACTAAATTCATATGAGTCTTTCTTAGAAAAAAGTGACATCAGCTGGGTGTGGTGGCTCATGCCTGTAATCCCCAGCACTTTGGGTGGCTGAGGTGGAAGGATCACTTAAGCTCAGGAGTCCAAGACCAGCCTGGGCAACATACCGAGACCTCCTCTCTACTAAAAATAAAAAAAAATCAACCAGGCATTGTGGCACACACGATTGTGTCACTGTACTCCAGCCTGGGGGATAGAGGAGATTGTCTGGAAAAAAAAAAAAAAAAAAAGTGACATGAGTCAAAAAAAAAAAAGTCATTCCCCAAATTGAGATTTGTTTTTTCTTTATTTAGAGCAGTTATACCCTCTATTTTTTTTTTTGAGACAGAGTCTCACTCTGTCGCCCAGGCTGCAATGCAGTGGCGCCATCTCTGCTCACTGCAAGCTCCACCTCCCAGGTTCACGCCATTCTCCTGCCTCAGCCTCCCGAGTAGCTGAGACTACAGGCGCCCGCCACCACACCCAGCTAATTTTTTGCATATTTAGTAGAGACGGGGTTTCACCATGTTAGCCAGAATGGTCTGGATCTCCTGACCTTGTGATCCACCGGCCTCGGACTCCCAAAGTGCTGGGATTGCAGGTGGTGTAAGCCACCGTGCCTGGCCCCCTCTATTTTAAATAAAAAGCTAGAAAAATTATAGAGAAAGAATTACATTGTTCAATTTTTTCTTTTAAAAGAATAAAAGCCCTACCCAAAAAGCCCTATACATAACCCTCCAATAGCATTCAACCAATTCCAAGCTGAAGTCCAAATTCCTATGAATGACATCCAAGCCAGGCATGATCTGGCCCCAGCCTCACACTCTGGAAGCAACCACACAGCCGTGAATCTCTGAACATCCTATGCTGATTCACACTCTACGCCTTTATACTTACAGTTCCCTCTGCCAGATAATGCTTCTATTTTGTATATTCTATCATGTTATCACACTGTGTTATGACCGTACTGAGAATTTCTCCCCTAGAATACAAGCAACTTGAGGGCTGGAGTAATCTTTTCAACTCTAATTCTCCAGTCCCAATCAGTAATTCTGCATGCTCAAAAAAGGCTTGTTGAATGAATAAATGAACACTACCTGCCTACCGGAGCTCCTCAAAGGAAGGCTATCCGGAGAATGATCAAAAGATGCTTTTTTCTTTGTCCTCCCCCGTGGAGTTGCCATTACATTAAATAATCTGCAAAAGAAAAATCAGACCATTAAATATTAGCATCTGCAAATATTTTTAACAGTCTGGAGCAAGTTATTATACACTTTGGTAGGTAAGAATGTATGTCAGATTGCCTAAATACAAAGCTACAGTTTTCTTTCTTTTCTTTTGAGACATTCTTGCCATGTTGCCCAGGCTAGCCTGGAACTCCTGGGCTCAAGCGATTCTCCCACCTCAGCTCCAAGTAGTTGGGAATACAGGTGCACGTCACCACACCACCTGGCTCAAGCCACCATTTTCAAGTTCTTAACCTCTCTAAGCCTCAGTGTTCTCACACATAAAATGGGCACCATAAGCATTTACTATAGCACTGGCATGAAGTTTAAACAAGATAACCTATTTAAAGCACCAAAACTGGCATATCGTAAGTACTCAATAAACATTACCTATTAGTAGTTATGCACATTAAAAGATACAAAATGAGAAACATGCCACATGAATGACCAATAAACAAACCACACTATGTTTATAAAATTCAATGAGGAAAACCACCTAGTTTTGCCTATGTTCCTCTCCATTTTACTGTGTCTTCTTAGCAGTTCCTGCACTTTGATCTCTTATTACACTTTAAAAAGAAAACTCATGGCTGGGCACAGTGGTTCATGCTTGTAATCCCAGCACTTTGCAAGGCCCAGGCAGGCGGATCATGAGGTCAGGAGTTCGAGACCAGTCTGACCAACATTGTGAAACCCCGTCTGTACTAAAAATACAAAAATTAGCCAGGCATGGAGGCGCGTGCCTGTAATTCCAGCTACTCAGGAGGCTGGGGCAGGAGAATCGCCTGAACCAGGGAGGCGGAGGTTGCAGTGAGCCGAGATTGTGCTACTGCACTCCAGCCTGGGCAACAGAGCAAGACTCCATCTCAAAAAAAATAAAAGAAAACTCATTCATTCCTTTTCAGTACAACTCAACAAATAAATATCAAGAAAACCATCTAGTCACTACTGAATATACAGATCTAAATTAGATAGAAGCACTGGTATCTTCTACTGGAAAAAATTTCCCAAACTAGTCCAATAACAGCATGGTTAAACATATATTAAGAACCAAAGTCTACAAGAGAAATAATGTGTAGCAGCTATGAAAGATTAAGAGCTAACAGAATTTTTTTCAATTAGATTAAGGAATGAAAAATGCTTAGCATAAGTACTCAGTAATATACAGAATCTATAATTATCATTCATCTCCTTCCTTGATCTATTGGATTTAACTACACATACACACAGAAAATGATAAATGAAAAATAAATAGGACATACCTATGGATAAAGAATTTGAAAGTGGAAAAGTGGAACCATAAAATACAAATTCCAGATATATAATCTTAGTCTTGGAGAAAAGCTTTAAGGAGCTTGTAATCCTATTGTTTCATATTTGTGAGCTGTATTAACATTCATAAGAGTACTTTTCATGGATTATTAACATCCTATGGAAAAACTCATTTTGCCATCTACATTGACTTTGACACATCCTAACATCAATGTTACGGATGATTTTCCTTTGACTTTTTTTTTTTTTTTTTTTTTTGTGAAGGAGTCTCACTCTATCGCCCGGCCTCCTTTGACTTAATCTTCACTTTCTCAGAAACAATAAATATTATGTTAGCTGTGAACACATAATCCCTACATATTCTGAAATGCACTATAGTTCTTTAAGCATTAAATAAACTGCCATTTAGTTCTACAACATCTATCATACTGTTGGAGAAAATGCTAATGATGTTCAAAGTACTATCCACCGGCCAGCGCGGTGGCTCACGCCTGTAATCCCAGCACTTTGGGAGGCTGAGGTGGGCGGATCACGACATCAGGAGATCGAGACCATCCTGGCTAACACGGTGAAACCCCATCTCTACTAAAAATACAAAAAAATTAGCCGGGGGTGGTGGCGGGCACCTGTAGTCCCAGCTATTCGGGAGGCTGAGGCAGGAGAATGGCATGAACCCCGCAGGCGGAGCTTGCAGTGAGCCGAGATCACACCACTGCACTCCAGCCTCGGCAACAGAGTGAGACTCCATCTCAAAAAAAAAAAAAAAAAAAAAAGGACTATCTACCTATAATTGTTATACCCAAAGAAGGCTTTTTGGACTTTATTTTCAAAAGGCTGTCCACTCTAACAAATCTCTTCATAGACACATATAAATATTAATTATTATATACATAAATATACAAATCTCTTCATTTATATATAAAATATACCTGACATTATTCATAACATGAACCACAAATATATGTAAATATATAGTATTTGTAAATGTATAGTATATGTAAGTATTATAGCAAAAATATCTGAAGTCAAATGTGTGGTTTAGGAACATAAATGAATCAGCCTAGGTTCATGCAACATTTGACCCTGTCACCTGGGAAGGTATGCATTCTCAAAAGAAAGTATAGTTTCCTGAAATTTCATCAAACATTTTAATCTAACTGAATACTAGAAAATAGGTACTTAATGCAACAAAGAATTCAAGAAATGGTTAACAAGGAAATGAAAACATGAGCTATAAAAGCCATTATTAAATCTTATCGAGGGTTTTTATGATAGCATATTTTCAACTTTATACAATTGAGGGTTATATGAATCCATTCTCAGAACTTTTGGCACTTGATGTAATTTATATATCTCCACTTGCTGGGTCCTTAGGTCTTAAAATGAAGAAAAAATTTTTAGTATACTAAAATGTCTTCCTTCTTGATTTTTCAAATTAATAAACACACCTAAATATAACCAATTGGTTTCATGCTCAACATTATACATATATTTCTAATTTTTAATTCAAGCATTTAAAATTTGGCTTTGGTTTTCTTTTAATGTGATAAAAAAGTGGGATTTTTTGGTAAATATATAAGTGGATATATCAATATGTAGATTTCATTATAATAATCCCTAGGTTTTTCTGAAGCAGCTTATTCAAAAAGATTTTTTCTTTTTTTTGAGACGGAGTCTTCCTCCGTGGCTCAGGCTGGAGTACAGTGGTGCGATCTCGGCTCACTACAACATCCACCTCCTGGGTTCAAGCGATTCTTCTGCCTCAGCCTCCCGAGTAGCTGGGATTACAGGTGTGTGCCACCACGTCCGGCTAATTTTTGTATTTTTAGTAGAGACCAGGTTTCACCACCTTGGCCAGGCTGGTCTTGAAGTACTCCTGACCTCAAGTGATCGCCCACCTCGGCCTCCCAATATTGAATAATTCAATATTGAATTATTCAATATTCAACATGCAGTTCAATGATTCAATATTAAATCCCCAATTGCCTAGATATCTTTTGTTGATTCTCCCAGCAAGGCAAATAATTATTGATGGTAATTTTCTCATGTACCTCCTGAAGAAGCCTTCTCTCCCACTCGCCTTTCTGCCACTAAAATAGATTTAAAAACACAAAACAAAACTGGTCAAAGCCTTGAGTTATGTGTGTATACGTGGTGTGGGGGATTCCCCAACTGGAGTGGACTGGGGAGTCCTGCAGGCTTACCCAAGGGAAGACTGGACTTCTATGTGGCTGGTTTCCACATCACTGAACCCCAACTTTCTACAGCTGGGTCGGCCTCTTCCTTCCTCTTTCACCTGTCAGCTGCCCGGCCGTTGACTAACAGCTACCCTAATCGGGCCACCCCTCCTCCAGGTCTCCAATCCCAGAGGAGTTACCCCAGCAACCTGGCAATGCTCATCAAGTCTCAACGCGTGGTGGCTGTGCCAGAGAATTACTACAACACCTGCAAGGCTGTGCGGGCTCCTGGCCGCACCCTATCGGCCGGGAAGAACAAGCGAGGGAGTTCCTACTCCAGGACCGTGGGGTTCTCCCGCGGCTCTGACAGTCCCCAGGAGGGAGCCCCAAACTCCCGGTGCCAGCTGCAGCCGCCTCGCTTTCCGAGAAGCTTTCGGAAGCTTTTCGAAGTCGGAGAAGCAACTGCCCCGGGGCTCACCTTTGCGCTGAAGAGGTGCCGGGAGTCTCGGGGAAAAGGCACCGCTGTACAGAAAGGAAACATTGTAGGGGGGTTAGCCGACCGGCAACATCGCGACGAACCCGGCGACCCCACGCCCCAACACCCTAGCCCGGGAATTCCCCCTTCTTCAGACAGATACCCACCCCGCACCCTCTTTTAATCCGGGGCAGGAGGTATCCGTCCCTGGGGCACCCGCCCACCTCCCACCACGGCGAGGGGCGCTGCACAGGGGGAAAGGGAGGGCTTGCACCCCAACCAAGCTGCTTTGTGCAACGCTGTCACCCGAAATCCGCCACGGCCCCCACGCACGCCCCCGGAGTGGGGAGCCTCCCACCTCTGAGCGCCAGCGAGGCGGTGCGCGCCGCCCTGGACTGCGGGCGCCTCTCCGGAGCCGCGCGCCGCGCGCACAGGACGGCTGCAGCCGCGCCGCGAGCCCCAGCCTCTTCTCGGCCGCCGCCGCCGCCGCCGCTTCCGCCCCTGTCACGGCGTGACCCGGGGTGGGAGGAGCCGACAGGACTAGGGATGGGTAGGGTCCCCGCCTTCGCTTTAGCCGCAGCGCTCGCTCCGCCCTGCCCATTTCCGCCGCTGCGCAAACCCCGGCGCTTGGGGAAGTGGGTGGAGTCTGTGCAACGAGGTACGGGGCGGGAGTGGAGACGGGGCGCCGGGAGAGGGGGCGGGAACTGAGGCGGGGCGCGGGAAAGAGGCGGGGCGCGGGAAAGAGGCGGGGCGCGGGCGGAGGCGGGGCGCGGGCGGAGGCGGGGCGCGGGCGGAGGCGGGGCGCGGAGAAGTGGCGGAGGTGGAAGCGGAGGCGTACCCGCCCCTGGGGACGTCATTGGTGGCGGAGGCAATGGCCGGCAACCAGCTGTAAGCGAGGTAGGCTCACTCGGGCGCGGAGGGTGCGGGTGAGAAAGGGAACGATTTGCTAGGAGTGTATGCGCCCGTGCTAGGGCTCCCAGGAATTCTTACAAGCGTAGACAGCCTAGCAATCAGCCCTGTGAAGTGGGGTTCAGGGCAGAAGCGGAAACTGGGAATAACGAGGTCGGACAGTAAATGACCTGAATCCAATGTCCAGGATTTAAAGTGCTTCCAAAGCACTGGTGTGTTTTAATTATTTTTTTTTCTTTTTTCTTTTAGAGACAGGGTCTCCCTCTGTCGCCCATGCTAGCGTGCAGTGGCACAATCATAGCTCACTGTAACCTGGAACTCCTGGGCTCAAGTGATCTTCCCGCCCCAGCCTCCTCGGTAACTGGGACTACAGGCTCGCTGCACCACGCTTGGCTAATTTTTCAAATTTTTTTTTATAGAAACGGACTCTCGGTTTTTTCCCCAGCCTGGTGTATTAGTGATTTTTGGGAAAAAATAAGTACTGCCAAATAGTGAGTGATCCCTGGTGATGTGGGAAACTGGGGTGCTGTAAATATTCTGTCTTGCTCTGCGGTGGTTACACAGGTGTATGTATATGTAAAAAATTCACCGAGTCATACTCTTTTAAGATGTGTGCACCTTAGGAAAGTTTCTTCTCAATTTTATGAAATTTAAAAACAAAACTATAGCAGAAGCTTTTGAAAAGGTGAGAATGGAGACTAGAACAACTTGAGGACTTTGTTTGTGGGCAGAAATTTTTGTGAAATTTCCCTTCCTTAATTCTTGTAATGTGCACTTTTTTTGTATTATAGAAATAAACTTTATTTCTCTAGAAATGATGTATACAAGTGGAGTCCATGCTGAGAAACTGTTAGAACAGCTAAGACGTTGAGCCCAGGAGTTTGAGACCAGCCTGGGTAACATAGCAAGACCCTGTCTCTACAAAATATTTAAAAATTAGCCAGGCATGGTGGTGCACCCTTATAGTCCCAGGTACTCAGGAGGTTGAAGTGAGAGGATCGCTTGAGCCCCAGTGTTGGAGACGGAAGTGTCATTACACCACTGCACTCCAGCCTGGGGGATAGAGAGAGACCCTGTCTCAAAAACAAACAACTAAGACATGATTAAGTTATGTGCATGATTTTGTTAGACAGTTCAAGTTTGTGTGAAAGGAATAGAGTTGTGCTACTCCAGGCTGCTGTGGAACTCTGATAAAGATTATGCTTCTCTTTTAAGTAGAGAACTGCTTTATGAAGCCTTGAATTTAGGTTCCAGAGTTTCTGAATGAAAATGAGAAAACTGCAACATTCTTTTGCTTTTCTGTACCCAATATAAATCAGATACTTTCTACTGACCTCTCAGAAAACTCAGAGTCACCTCCTGATACCATCAGGGTCTTGCAGAAGCCATTTGTCAACAAATATTTGCTAAGAAGTGAATTCATGTTCCCAGGTAATGAGAGAAATGCCTCCTCCCTATATCCTAAGCATACTGAGGCCAAATTTGGCAACAAAAGGGGAAATTTGCCTGAAATACATGCTTTTATGCAATGTTTGCTATTTCACAGATTAATCATTAAATTAGAACCACCAATAATAGCATGCTAGTATAATCCAAACTAGTTTCACTAATGATTTAAAGGGAATGTTAGAATAATGGTGTTATATTGTCCTTAATATTGCAGAGTTGACATTGAAAGGAAAGGCATTTTCCTCATACATTCAGATGGATCTGCAGTTATGGTCTGTCAGCTGAAGAATGAGAAGTTCATAATTTAGAAAGGAGAACTCTTTCTCATGAATGGTTTCAGACTGTAGAGCAGCCATTCTGACTGGCTGAGAAGTGTAGCCGCAGGCCAGAAGCCAGAAACTGACACTTCCAGGGAGGGGCAAAGGGAACAGGAATTTATGCTGAGGAAGGTGGCCAAATATACATATTCAGTAAGCTGTAGGATGACTCATGAATATTTATGAAAGGAGGAAAGTACCCATGAGTAATTGAGCTTCATGGGTACCATGCACAAAAAATGGCGGTGTTACCACAATCACAGGATGGAGTTTTTGGCCCTCTTATATCAAAAGGTGAAGCAGAGGACAGAAAAACCCTTACTGTGCATTCTCAGTAGACTGGCCAGAACCATTCTGTGGTCTGTGATCTCTTATCAGGCACAAAAGGAGGGGCAGCATCAGGGGGTTGGTTGATATCAGTGGTAGAATCTTTTGAAAGGGCTGGTTTCCCTTAAGTCCTTATAGAACAAAGCCTAATTGTGGTTAGCAAGAGAGGAGGTATAGAGTTGTATCTGACGCTCTATCTACTCTTGGCCCAGAACTCAGTTTTCAAGGTTACTCTGGGGTCCCGTTAGCCAAGAAAGTGTGTAGTGAGCCAAGATCGCACCACTGCACTCCAGCCTGGGCAACAAGAGCGAAACTCCATCTCAAAAAAAAAAAAAAGAAAGAAAGAAAAGGAAAGAAAGTGTGCCTTCAGTCAGTTGAGAGGCTTTGAATTTTATTGTTAGTTTACATTGTACATGTCTTTTTTCAGTTTCCTTAGTGTGCATTTCCCATGCAAAAAAAGAAGCTGTAGAAAATTATTTGAAAATACAAATGTGTGGAGTAGAGATAGGATATTGAACTATGGTTCAGTATCTACTTTAATCTGTTTTTGCTGTCTCCTGAAAATAACAGAATTTTTTTTTAAGGCATAAAGTACTAGGATAGCCAGGACAGGAGAGACAAAATTAGTAAAATTTTGGAAAGGCAAATGGACAAGTGGGAAAGGATTTTGCAACTTCAAGGAAGCTGAATTCTAAACCAGCAATGAGAAAAGCCATTGAGCAGCCCAGTTTGCAATACAGAATCCCCAAATGCTCAGGATTAGCAGCACCAGGTACCTCCATAAAGTGTGAGAGTATGGTTGAAACAAGGAGGATTGCTTGAAATGCTGGTTCAGAACAGGCCAAATCCCCAGATCCTTTTCTCAACTTCTTGCAACCAAGTGTGTACATCTCACCACACCAGCAGGCTTTGGGGATTTATTCTCTGGAAAGGGTAAAACAAAGAGTGTCTGTCTAGACTGAGAAGATATGATACACAGTTGAGCATGGGAGTATACAGGAAACGTGAGGATTAATTGAATACAGCAAACTGGATGCTGGGACCCTCGCCCACTTCTCTTCTTTTCTTATATGAGTATATGACAGTGGCTCCAACGACAGAATCCTTAAGACAGGAATTGGGAGATCCATCTATGGAAAGTCTGACTACCACAAGGAAATTAAAGACATTAGCCAGGCATGAGGGTGTGCAGCTGCAGTCCCAGATACTTTAAAGGCTGAGGCGGGAGGATCACTTGAGCCCAGAAGTTTGAGGCTGTATTGTGCCACTGCACTACAGCCTGGGTGACAGAGCGAGACCCTGCCTCAAATAAATAAATAAATAAATAAATAAATAAATAAATAAATAAATAAATCTAGGTTTCCAAATGAAATCCACTCACATCACCCTACATTATAAGCCCCACCCACATTCTTTGCCTTCATTCATTTTATACCTATTCTTTTTTTTGTTTTTTTCTTAAGACAAGGTCTTGATCTGTAGCCCAGGCTGGAGTGCAGTGGCACCATCATAGCTCACTGCAGCCTCGAACTCCTAGGCTCAAGCCATCCTCCTGCCTCAGCCTCCTGAGTAGCTAAGATTACAGGCATGCACCACCATGCCTGGCCAATTTTAAAACTGCTTTTGTAGAGATGGAGTCTCACTATGTTGCCCAAGCTAGTCTCAAACTCCAGGCGTCAAGCCATCCTCCCACTTTGGTCGCCCAAAGCACTGGGTGATTGATAGCAAAAAAAAAAAAAAAAAGAGAGAAGAAGTTAAAAAAATGAGAATTAAGGTAAATCTTTCAGAAAATAGTACAAAAACATGAAGATATAGAAAAATAGAAAAAAATGAGAAATTTACCATACCGGGTCAGAAGATTCTAGAGACAAATAATAGGGGTCCCAGAAGGAGAAATAAAAAAAGCAGAGGGATGGCCAGGCTCAGTGGCCCACGCCTGGAATCCCAGCACTTTGGGAAGCCGAGGCTGGTGAATCACATGAGGCCAGGAGTTCAAGACCAGCCTGGCCAACATGGTCAAATCTCATCTCTATTAAAAACACAAAAATTAGCTGGACCTGGTAGTGCATGCCTGTAATCCCAGCTACTCAGGAGGCTGAGGTGGGCGTGATTCTTCACTAAACCTTTAGGGTGCCCAACCCCCTATGGCCCCCACACTTCTAACCAAGAATTTGATACCCAGCAGAGCTATGCATCAAGGATGAGGAATAGTCTAACCGTGTTTTATACATGCAAAATGGAAAAACATTCTTTTTCTTCCTTGTGCTCTTTCAGGAAGCTCTGGAGGTTAGGCTTCACCAATATAAGCGTGGTCACTAAAAAATAACAACAAAAAAAAGAGGAAGACATGAAATAAAGCTGGAGATTCAGACAAGAAGGAAATCTCCAGAATGATGATGAAGAGCGATCCCAGAAAGCTAGCTGTCTACCAAGATTAGAGAATAATCAGGGCAGATTCCAGGAGAGAATTCTCCAAGATGATATTGATAGTATAGCTGATGACTGGAGAGACTGACTGTGTACTGATAGGAAATTGGGACAATTGGCAGAATTTAGAGTTGAATTAGGAGTAAGTACAATAATGCCTACGTGATGAAGCCTACATAAAAACCCAAGAGGATGGGGTTTGGAGAGCCTCCTAATAGCTCAACAGGTGAAGGTCCTGTAGCTAACACATCTCTTCAAGTATATTCTTCGCAGTATCCTTTATAATAAATGTGCAAAGATAACTAAGTATTTCTCTGAGGTTTGTGAGTTGCTCTAGCAAATTAAGCAAACCCAAAGTGGAGGGTGTGGGAACCCCAACTTGAAGCCAGTGGAGGCCTGGACTTGCAACTGGTGTCTAAGTGAGGAGGGAAATCTTAGGGACTGAGCCCCCAACATATAGAATCTGACACTATCTCCAGGTAGGTAATGTCAGAATTAAATCAGAAGATACCCAACTGGTGTCCAATATTTGGTGTGCTGGGGGAAGAACCCCCACATTTGGTCACAGAAATCTTGTGTGTTGATGATTGGGGTGTGAGAGCAGAGGAAACACTAATATTAAGATAGAATTCAGTTTATTTAATGATCTCTTGTAATGTGTATTAAGGGGTATTATTCTACCACCAGACGCACTGAAAGTAATTTTTTGTTATCACTTCTTATTGGATGTTGAAATGGCAAGGTGCAGTGACTCACACTTGTAATCCCAGTGCTTTGCGAGGCCAAGACAGAAGGATCCCTTGAGCCCAGGCGTTCTTTGTTGTCTGGACAACAAAATGAGAACCATCTCTATTAAAAAATATATATATACAAAAATTAACCAGGTGTGGTGGTGTGTACCTGAAGTCCCAGCTACTTGGGAGGCTGAAATGGGAGGATCGCTTGAGCCCAGGAGGTTGAAGCTTGCAGTAAGCCAGGGTCTCCAGCCTGGGTGACAGAGCAAGACCTTGTCTCTGAAAAAAAAAAAAACAAGGAAAGAAAGATTAGCTGGGCATGATGGTGCACACCTGCAGTCCCAGCTACTTGGGAGGCTGAGGCAGCAGAATTGCTTGAACCTGGGAGGCAGAGGTTGCAGTGAGCCAAGATCACACTACTGTACCCCAGGCTGGGAGACAGAGTGAGACTCCATCTCAAAAATAAAACCAGAAATAAAAAAAGAAAGAAATATTTTTAAAAAGTCATACTGCTAAGAATAATAGGTTTTCATTTAGTTCATCAATAGAATTCCAATGACCTTAAATGACAACATTGCAAATATTTTCCACGTAGGCACGGAAGACATATGCTTGTGAGACAAAGGTGTCTCTGAAACTATGGATGGTACAAGAACTTCACTTGACATTGAAGAGTACTCGGATACTGAGGTACAGAAAAACCAAGTACTAACTCTGGAAGAATGGCAAGACAAGTGGGTGAACGGCAAGACTGCTTTTCATCAGGAACAAGGACATCAGTAAGAAATATTTGGTATACAATAGAGAAATGTTCTATCAAAAAGTGACTTTGAGATAGAAATAATAAAAGTACACATTATTTGACTAACTTTTAGGATGCACATTTAATTCTTCACATTTTTGTGTCTCCCGAGTCACAGTGCATCTGTGGCATGATGTAGTTTAATTGGCAGAGTCTTTTCTTCCCACAGTGTGTAAATAATGGTGTGGCTTACAAATGATGACATCTTAGATTTATAAAATATGTTCTTTGATCCCTACGGCACCTATGTATTGGCCCTGAATATTTATACCTACAACAGGTGCTCAAGCAATGTTTATGCTTACAATTCTTCATACTGAAAATCAGTGGTGTCTGACTTTGCTTTCCAATAGGATGTGTTCAGATGTTAAAGAATTATCTCTATGGTGGGAGAAAAGAAGTTGCGAGAAATTATAAAGTGAGTTAGGATGTTGTGCAATGTAGTAGTAGTCTTCATAGCAGCAATAAATCATGGGACCAGTGCTGAGTAAAGTGGTTGTTAGAGACATTCCTTGTTCTGGGCAGCCACGCCCATCTCCCCAGGAGATGACATCATCATCATCATCATCATCATACCAGAAACACTGGGTTATTTCTGTCATGTGGATGGCCTTAGAAGAGCCACATCTCCACAGAGGGAATTACAAGAAACTACAGGAGTTACACTTCTCAGGTTTACTTCCGAGGCTTGAGTACACGTTTAGAGAACGTACCATGAAATTAATGTTGAAAAATCCATGGCTCCAGAGGCTCCATCACCCCCAAAATAGTACATATTTAGAGAATTAATAAAGAATTTTCAAAACATCCCCAAGAAAAAAAAATTATTTTTAATTACTAATCAGGAAAGCCCTGGGTGTAAGTCAGATTTACCACTGACTGGGTGTGTGTCTGAGCAAGTTACCTGTTTCTTCATATGTAAGCTGGAGATTATAATAATTAATAGTAACTGCTTATTAAGGTTGTTGGGAATATTAAGTGAGATAATGAATGAAAAGTGTTCACCTACCATACAATTGTCCTAAAACCTTTTTTTTTTTCCTCTTCAGGCTATTAAAGAAGCATTTAGATACTTTCCTTAAAGGCAAGAGTGGACTGAGGGTATTTTTTCCTCTTTGCGGAAAAGCGGTTGAGATGAAATGGTATGAGCAGATAAACATTAACAGAATTATCTTGCCTTAATGATGAATTCTTTGGGTGATTTAACAGGATGTGAGTTTTAAAACTCCATTTTCAGGAAATACACAGAAATTCCTTATTTTTCTATTAGTGATGGGTATATAATTGGAAATAATATTCTCAAACAGTAAGAAACAACAGAAACAGGTATGAAGTCTTTCTGGATTGAGTTTTGAAATTAAAAAATCAGTTTGGAGCCAATGGGGGGAGAAAAAACAGCCTTCCCTTTTACATTTCCTGGATCCTTGTATGTGGTTCAGTTTTTGTAGGTGGTTTAGGAATTTAGCTAAGTTAATTTTTAGATATTTGAAATGGTGGTGGACAGAGAAATTCAAAATGAATTACAGCTTTTTGGCAGGACAATGTTCATAGTCCACAGTTCAGCTCAACCTTCCCCTCCCACCAGGGAACACAGGAGTTTCTGTTATCGTGAATCATTGTTATAAAACCAGTGATTAAGAAAGTATTTCTTGTGAGTAATTCTCTACAAAGAGAATTCACTTTAACAAGCCACTTTTACTATGAGTTACCCTAAAGTCACCTCGACATCATTCTCTATACTGAACTCTCTTGTAATGATAATATACAGATACAATCATACCTGCCAAGATATGCATTTATTTATAAGCTTGAATGTTGAGAACTTTGACCACTGAGCAGGAAAGAAAAAAGAATGTATGAAAAGGTTAGTAAATGCGCCAGGTGTGGTGGCCTCCGCCTGTAATCCCAGCACTTTGGGAGGCCAAGACAGAAGGATCTCTTGAGCCCAGGAATTTGAGACCAGTCTGGACAACATAGACCCTGCCTCAAAAAATAAATTTAAAATAAAATATTAATAAATGTAAAATATAATAACCTAAAAAATGGTCTATTCTGAATATAAATATCGGTGACTAACGCAGAGTATGCATGCATTTTTTGGGAGTTGATTTTCAAGTAGAGATGATAGAATTTTTGCAGCCAGCAACCAATCAACTGTAGCTGAGAGCCTTTGTTAGAGGGCTGCTATGACTTTAAGATTCAAGTGTGGTCATGAAATTGAGAATATTTAAACTATATTATGACATATATTTTAACCAATTCATTGAGCCAGAAGAGATAGTTACTTTCAAAATTACCCTCAAAAAAAATTAACTCTATAAACAGATTGTCATGTGATGTCACCATAAATGGTAACAATGTAGTACAAACAGGTTCTGAGGCAACATTAGGAAAATGGTATGAAATAGCCAATTAAATGTGATTGTTGAATATTTGGGGTCTAAAGCCATTTGTAATAAAGACATTACAAAAAATATCAGAACTGGCCAGGTGCGGTGGCTCACACCTTTAATTAGGTGAGCGGATCACTTGAGGTCAGGAGTTCGAGACCAGCCTGGCCAACATGGTGAAAACCCATCTCTACTAAAAATACAAAAATTAGCCAGGCATGGCAGCGTACGCTTGTAATCCCAACTACCTGAGAAGCTGAAGCAGGAGAATTGCTTGAATCCAGGAGGCGGAGGTTGCAATGAGCCCATGCACTCCAGCCTAGGTGACAGAGTGAGACTCTGTCTCCAAAAAATATATATATATGTATATATACGTAAATACAGTTATTTTTATGTATATATATATATGAACTGAGCTACTGTAATTACATGTAAGAAGTTAAGAAGTTATGATAGTAGATGATTTTTCATTTATGTAACTGATCTATGTATTGAGGTCTATACAGACATGAGATGTGAATAGAAAAACTGACCATGAGCTAAGGCCAAAAAGCATTAAAACAAAATGTTTAAGATATTTAGGTTTAGGTTTTTGGTTTTTTGAGACAGTCCCACTCTGTCACCCAGGGTGGAGTGCAGTGGCATGATCATAGCTCACTGCAACCTTGAACTCCTGGGCTCAAGAGATCCTCCCTCCCAACATGCTGGGATAACAGGCATAAGCCACCACACTTGGTCTTATTTTGTTTTTATTACAGGTTGTAGTAGGCTATGCTTCATTTTTCCATCTGTTGAATGGGAAATAAAAACACATACAGCCAATTTGAATAATGTTTTTGTTTACATTTTATAACTTAAAAAATGTAGGGAGAATTTTTAAACTCCCTGTATGTTTACAGATATCCTAAGAAATACGAAAGATGAAAGACAAGTTATATGTTTCATTTTACAACTAAACAGTTCATGCTCTGCCCACATTGAAAGTACGTACTCTTTTGTAGATAAAAGGTACAGTCAGTCCTGCTATACTTGTTTCAAAACTGAATTCTAACTCAATTGATATATTAGGGAAAAATTTGAGCATGAAATAAATTTCACATTTGCTTGTGTGTGATTTCATCTATAAGAAGCCTTAGGTAAAAGCAGAAAACTGCACCCAGTTGAACTAAACCAGGTATGAATAGATGGAATGCACCAACATCCCCCAGCTACCTTAGTGAGCATTAGGTCTTTTTCACCGTAAAGTGCCATATTGTAGTATTTATCTATTTCTCAACCATTTAACATGTATAAAACTGTTATTATTAGGTTCCTGTTTTTGTTTTTTAATGTGGCACTGACCAAGTTTTTAAATGCTGTGCCCTCACTTTCCCCACCAGCCTGGGGATTTTTAGTGCGTGATTTAGCATAGTGCAGTGATTTTAGGAAGGCACTTGTTACATTATAGCAGAACTATGTTTTTATTTCACTTGACATAAAATCATAACTGTGCCTAGATATTTGTACCACTGGTACTGTTTTCTCTTGAGTCCAAGATCCTGAGACTGAATTCTGTTCATTATAAAACTTACCAGGACTGTAATCCCAGCACTTTGGGAGGCTGAGGCAGGCAGATCATTTGAGGTCAGGAGTTCGAGACCAGCCTGGCCAACACGGTGAAACCCCGTCTCTACTAAAAATACAAAAATTAGCCGGGTATGGTGGGGCACACCTGTAATCCCAGCTACTCTGGAGGCTGAGGCAGGAGAATTGGTTGAACTCGGGAGGTGGAGGTTGCAGTGAGCTGAGATTGTGCCACTGTACTCCAGCCTGGCTGACAGAGTGAGATTCTGTCTCAAAAAAAAAATTTTTTTTGAGGAAAAAATTTTCCTCTTTTCCTCAAAATTACCAGGAAAAGCCCGGGTGTGGTGGCTCACGCCTGTAATCCCAGCACTTTGGGAGGCTGAGGCAGGTGGATCACCTGAGTTCGGGAGCTCGAGACCAGCCTGGCCAACATGGTGAAACCCCGTCTCTACTAAAAATACAAAAATTAGCCAGGCATGGTGACAGGCACCTGTAATCCCAGCTACTCAGGAAGCTGAGACAGGAGAATCGCTTGAACCCAGGAGGTGGAGATTGCAGTGAGCCGAGATTGTGCCATTGCACTCCATCCAGCCTGGGCAACAAAGTGAGACTCCGTCTCAAAAATAAATAAATAAATAAATAAAATTACCAGGACAATGCTATTTGTATATGATAAAATATACAAATTTTTGGATAGTGTTTATTTTAAGCAAATGGAAACTACAAGATTAGTATACAAATGAGTGCTAATGTTCTAGACCTGTTCACTTTAGTACAGTAGCTACTAGCCACATGTGGCTATTTAAATGTAAACTAAATAAAATGTAAAATTCAGTTCCTCAATCACGAGGAACCAATGTGGCTAATGCCTATTTTATTGGACAGCGACAGATATAGACATTTTCATCAATGCAGAAAATTTTAATGGGCAGTGCTGATTTAGAGAAATTGAAAAGCATTTCCTCTAGTCAAATCAATTTGTATTAAATCAGTATTTTGTTATATATCTATAATTACATTCCAACTGTTTCATACATAAAAAAAGATATATATAATTTTCCAAATTTTTATTGTTTCCTGAATTCATATAAGTCAGTTTTTCAGAATTTTTATAAGGTTTGAAAATAATATAGATCTGCTTTCCTGCATGTTCTTTGAAACCCTATGAACCTGAATTCATATAAATTCCTCTAAATTAAAGAAAATATATGCTTACTCTAATATAACCCTCTATTTAGTCATTTGAAAACATAATTTAAGTGTAAATGTATGATTTTATGCAGGTTTGCAGACCGGGGACACAGTGTAGTTGGTGTGGAAATCAGTGAACTTGGGATACAAGAATTTTTTACAGAGCAGAATCTTTCTTACTCAGAAGAACCAATCACCGAAATTCCTGGAACCAAAGTATTTAAGGTTTGTTTTGATTTGGGTAAATAATTGTATCCATATCCCCACAAAAGTTTTTCTCAGTGTGAGTATTATGAGGATACCATTCATGTGTCCGATGGTTCCTATTTAGCACGCAGATTCACTGTAGATACTATATAGTATAAGAAGCAAGGGCTTAAAAATATAGGTGATAGCTACCTAAATAGGTATAGACATATGTATATAAAAGCTGAGGTCAAAGCCTCTCTGTACTCAAGCTTTTAGGCTTGTTTTATTTTTATTAACACGCATTTTCTGAGAACCCATCATGTGCCAGACCCTGCCTAAGACATTGAAGAGATAAAGATAACACAGCACACCCCCCTCACTCCCACCCCTAAAGAATCTCTTAGTTTAGGAGAGAAGAGAAACAGGGACAAAGCTATTTGTAATGCATGGAGCTAAGTGTAAAGACACAGGGTATTAAGGGAAGAGATGGGAGTTACCTGCCCAACCTGGCGGTGCTTCCTGAAGCATGGTGACAGATAGAGCTGGAATCAGGCAGGGCCTGGGTCCATGGTCTTGGACACCTCGGGAAGATACTACTTAAATCACCCATGAGGCCTCATAGGAAGTGATTTGAAGGGAAGTAGCCTCCTGGCAGAGAGACAGGAGGCTATGGCAGTGGTCCAGGAAAGACATCATGAATCCCTGAGCAAGGAGAGTGATGGGGCATAGAGAGTGGTTAGGATGGATTAAAGCAACATTTACGATAGACCCGCAGGATTCTGTGACCGAATGAGGACCAAAGGAGCGATGAGTTCACATTTCTGGCTCAGATGACTGGCTGGATGGTCAAGAATAAATGAGAAGGGCAGAAAGAATGAATCTTTTTCTAGAGATGATGAGTTTAAGGGACCTGTGGAGTGGTGAAGGTTTTATGTCTGAAGCATGGAGTGAGGTTTGGGCTCAAAATGATAGGTTTGGGAGTGGTCTTTATGCTGTGAGCAGAATGAGCCAGTGTAAATAAACAAACACTACCCAAGTGGGAACAAGCAGAGAGAATCTGGCAGAGACTCAAAGGCAGGCAGAGGAGTGGGGAAGCTTAAAAGTGGACAAAAGTAAAAGCTCCCGGCATGTGCTGTTGCGAGGCTGTTGGCACAGGGAAGCTGGAGGTGGGCAACTAGGAACGGGGCATCCTATGTGATTGGTTTGGGGAGCATGTTTGCCTTTCTCTGGCTGATCCTAAATTGGAAGAAGTGTGGTAGTAAAAATCAGGGAAGCTGGCAGTCATTGACCAAGTCACTGCAGAGGTTGTGAAGTGGCTACCTTGTCTGGGGTAAATTCCCCAGGTTCGTCGTCTTGTGCCAGGAAAATTTAGGACAGAGACACACATGAGGAGTTCAGGAGTGGAGGTTTAATAGGCAAAAAAAAAAGAGAAAGAGAAAATAAAACAGCTCTCTCTTTAGTGAGAGAGAGGGGACTTCCGAGAGGAAAAAACCTGCCAGGTGTAGAAGCGCCGGATTTTATAGTGCAGCCTGAGGAGTCAGTGTCTGATTTACATAGGGCTCACAGATTGGTTTGATCAAGTGTGATGTTTACATAACGTGCTGGGAAGGCTGGTCGCCCCACCCTAATCTTATTATGCAAATGAACTCTTCCCTTCGCTGGCACCATGTTGTCTGCTTCTTACTCTACAGGTGGCTGACAGAGAAGGGAAGATAGAGCCACCATTTTGAACATGATTGGCACAAACTGCCGGCATCTATGTCTGCAGCTCGATTTTATAGGCTGCTCTTTGTTAGAAAGGAAAAATGATTTGAGGCTGCTTTTCATTAAGAGGAAAACCTTCCGTATCCTCCCTATCTGCCTTAGTAATTTCTTCTTAACTCCTGAATCAGTTGTGGGGTCAGAGTTGTATTGTCATATAGGATCTATTGTCCATCTGTATATTCAGTGTCTCACAAAGTACTCTTTTCTAAATATTGAAATTAATTGCTCAGCTGGGCATGGTGGCTCATGCCTGTAATCCCAGCACTTTGGGTGGCCAAGGTGGGTGGATCACTTGAGGTCAGGAGTTCAGGACCAGCATGGCCAACATGGCGAAACCCCATCTCTACTAAAAATGCAAAAATTAGCTGGCTGTGGTGGTGCATACCTATAATCCTAGCTACTCTGGAGGCTGAGGCAGGAGAATCGCTTGAACCTGGGAGGTGGAGGTTGCAGCGAGCCAAGATCGCACCACTGCACTCCAGCCTGGGCAAGAGAGTAAGACTCTGTCTCAAAAAAAAAAAAAAAAAATTGTTGCTCAGATCAGTAGGAAGCTTGATGGTATTTTTTATTTCACATCTTCCTCCCACCTCATTCTCAAAGCATTAAAGAATCCAAGGAGTTTACTCAGTCCAAAAAGGGCTAGTCCTGCTTCCAGGCCCCTCTTGGAGCAGCAGTTCCCCGCCCAGGCTGCACATTTGAAATCATCTCTGGATCTTATAAAAATTCCCAATCCAAAGGTCTTACCCCAGGCCAATTATATCAGAATCTATAGGGGTAGGGCCCTGGCATCAGTACTGTTTAAAGCTCCCCTTGATTCCAATCTGCAGGCAAAGTTGAGATCCAGCTGTTCTCCTGCCTCCAGGCCCACCCATCTCTGGGCTGACCCAGTGATCCCAGGCTGGTTGTCAAAGACCCTTCCTCCTCTACTTGTAAACCTGTGTGGGGACCTCATTTCAGAATAAAATCTAGCAGTCTTGTGTGCTGACACACCTTTCCTACACTGCCCTTCACCCCAGCTCCCAGGATCCTAAAGTCTATGTTATATTGCCCCCTCTTGGAGTGTGCCCCCAGTCCACACCCTAGAGTGTCACCCTTTCAAAAGTCACCTCTTTTTTTGTTTTATTCTCTTGATTTTTGTTGTTGTTGTTTATTTTTTAGGATTATTTTGCTCCAAGTGTTTGTTTTTGAGACAGGGTCTTACTCTCACACAGGCTGGAGGGCAGTGGCACAATCACAGCTCACTGCAGCCTTGACCTCCCAGGCTCAAGTGACCCTCGCATGTCAGCCTCCCAGGTAGCTGGAACTACAGGTGTGTGCCACCACACCCATCTAATTTTTTCTGTAGAGTTGGAGTTTTGCCATGTTGCCCAGGCTGGTCTCATACTCCTGGGCTCAAGCGATCTGCCTGCTTCAGCCTCCCAAAGTGCTGGAATTACAGGTGTAAGCTGCCACACCTGGCCAAAAGTCACCTTTTGTTTAGTCTCCCTGATGCTCCCAGGCAGGCCCCTGCTCTGCCTTCTGTGTTCACATAGTTCGCAGGCACAGAACCACAACAGAGCAGGCCATTCTGGATTGTAATGTTCTCTGTGCCCACGCTTCTCTGCTCTAGTCTGTCCTCACTGTGGTCAGAGACTGTGTCGAATTCAAATCTACTGTCAAGAACCCAGGATAGATGTCTTGTCTATTAGGTACTCAGCAAATAAATGCTCATTGGCTGAATGAATGAGCAAAAATGGAAGAATCAGCACAATTGCACATTTCTGGAATAACTTAAAATACCTGACTTTTCAGTACCACCCTGCCTGATAATTGGTTGACCTGCAGATTTATCTTTAGCAGAGTAAAAATATCACTCTGCTCGAGGAAACATTGTTAGAATTTTATAGCAAGCTCTGAAGTGAGTAACAGCCAACTGATCTTCAAAGTTGTCCTCTGTGATATTCCTCTGAGTTGGCCCAAAAGAACCTCGCACAGGTTTTAAAAGAAAAAAATAAGGTGCCAATAAAGTGCAGTAAAATTATTTACTTTAATTATGTTTAATTAACACATTCTTTCCCTAGAACTTTTGCTTTGCTTGGCCCTCTTTCCTTGACTATTCAAGTACTTACTAAGTAAAAAAAAAAAATTTTTTTTTCATTATTTCATTACAGAGTTCTTCGGGGAACATTTCATTGTACTGTTGCAGTATTTTTGATCTTCCCAGGTAGGTTGAATACTACATCTGCACTTTAAAAAATTTGAATGCTTGCCAGGCAGTGCAGGCATGGGAGTGGAGGTGTCTTCCTCACTCTCTTCCTCCTGTGTAACATCCACAAAGCATTTTTTTGAATGTCTGTTCTGCAGATATTTTTATTACACACTCGTCTGCACACTTTAATGTGTTTTGTCTTTGGTTAGCTCCCAAACTATGGGAAACTGAGGCAGCTAGGGAAAAAGAAAGGTGAGTAAGACAGTGTCTTCTACCTTGCACCTGGGCCTGTAATAGAAATGAATTTCAAGTAGCCAAGGGAGATAAGAGCTCATCTCCTGAAAGTCCCTGATACCTGAGCCAGAGGCTGGGGGCAGAGTTGTTGCACACTGTCCTTTGTTCCTTCTTCATGTCCCCAAATCATAACAGAGTGGGGAGGCTGCTGCCACAGGCTCCTAAAACCATGAGGGGATGGACAGCTCTCCACACCCAGGTCCACACATTCCTCTAGGAGGAAACGCAGACGTGAGATCCTAATACCTTGACGATTGTTGAAGTACCAGCATGCACCATGGGGGACGCTGCTCATCTTCTTAAAGATTTGATTTTTCTCCCATAAAATGTTTTTTCTCTTTCTGGTAGGACAAATATTGGCAAATTTGACATGATTTGGGATAGAGGAGCATTAGTTGCCATCAATCCAGGTGATCGCAAATGGTAAGTAATTTTTCTTTTTTTGTTTAGCTGTCTTAATTTTTTAGTATACTATACTTTTTCTGGGTTCTAGAAAATCAGCTTAGACTTCTATGAGTTTGAAATAGGTTATTATGTTTGGAATTTATAAAAACCTAAATCCAATACTAGCTTTGTCTAAAAAGTATAGGATTTGACTACAGAGACCTGGGTGTAAGGCTATAAGGCTTGTGGCTCAATCACTTTCAAGCTGTGTGGCCTTGGTCCAAGTATTCAACTTCTCTAAGCTTTGGTTTACTCCTGCAAAATGGGAATATTTCTGTAATACTAACACAATCATCACCACCTCCACTAATATTACCAGGTAATACTTACTGGTCACTTGCCTATTCCAGGTATTGTTCAAAATACTTTATGTGGGCTGGGTATGGTGGATCATACATGTAATCCCAGCACTGTGGGAGGCCAAAGCAGGAGGATTACTTGAGCCCAGGAGTTTGAGACCAGTCTGGGCAACAAAGCAAGACGCCACCTCTACAAAATATTTTTAAAATTATCCGACCGTGGTGGTATGTGCTTGTAGTCCCAGCTACTTGGGAGGCTGAGGCAGGAGGGTGAGCCCAGAAGTTCAAAGCTGCAGTGAGCTATGATCGTACCACTGCACTTCAACCTGAATGACAGAGCAAGACCTTGTCTGTAAAATATTTAAAAAAAAAAAAAAACAAAAAAATCAAAATATTTCATGTGGTTTAACATTTAATTCTGTAAGGTATAAGCTACTATTCCATTATACAGATGAGGAAACTGAGGTCAAAGAGATTAAGTTACTTGTCCAAAGTTAAGCAGCTGGTATGTGACAGAGTTGAGATTCAAAACCAGAGTGTTTGGCTTTGAAGTCCATACTTGTGGCCGGGTGTGGTGGCTCACGCCTGTAATCCTAGCACTTTGGGAGGCCAAGGTGGGCGGATCGCCTGAGGTCAGGAGTTCGAGACCAGCCTGGCCAACATGGTGAAACCCCATCTCTACTAAAAATACAAAAATCAGCCCAATGTGGTGGCCTGTAATCCCAGCTACTCAGGAGGCTGTGGCAGGAGAATCACTTGAACCCAGGAGGCAGAGGTTGCAGTGAGCCAAGATGGCGCCATTGCACTCCAGCCTGGACGACAAGAGCGACCCTCCATTTCAAAAAAATGAAATAAAATAAAGTCCACACTCATGATCCCTTTGTTAGACTACCTCAAAGGATTTTTGTGGGAATTGAAAGAAATGAAATATGTAGGAAATACCTTGTCATCTCTAAAGAACTGTATAAATGAGAGCTGTTATTATTGAAGCATTGTTATTGATGTTTTTGATGACCATTCTTATTATACCGAGTCTTGTTAGAAAATAAAATTAAAATATGAGTGAGGAAGCATACTGAGTAAAATGTGACCACATCTGTATACTCTTTCAATTAAAATAATGTCATTTATGTGCTTACTTGGATATAGCATGGAAATATTGAATTACTTAGTTGTATGGAGCAGACTCATCACTTGGCCAAAAAGGAGGCTGGGCGCAGTGGCTCACGCCTGTAATCCCAGCACTTTAGGAGGCTGAAGTGGGTGGATCATGAGGTCAGGAGTTCGAGACCAGCCTGGCCAACACAGTGAAACCCTATCTCTATAAAAATACAAAAATTAGCTGGGCTTGGTGGCGCACACCTGTAGCCCCAGCTACTTGGGAGGCTGAGGCAGGAGAATTGCTTGAACCCGGCAGGTGGAGGTTGCAGTGAGCCGAGATTGTGCCACGGCACTCCAGCCTGGGCAACGGAGTGAGATTTCATCTAAAAAAACAAACAAACAACCAAAAAAAAAACAGGTTAGGCTCCACATCAGTGAAATAAGATTTTTATTTTTAAAAATTGTTTCATCAGTAAGGCTTACTGCCAAACCTAATCTTTTTAAATTAGACCATGCCGCATCTTAATTTTCATGCTCCTGTTTCCCTCTTTTTCTCACTGCTCCTCCTTTATCTCTTTTCCAGAACTCCCATCCTCCTTGCATGCCTAAAAGTCGTGATTCCCCAAGGGACCACCATCCTCAGCCTTATGCTCTCACCCAAAAATTGCCAATATTTGTCCTACCAGAAAGAAAAAAAAATTTTATGAGAGAAAAATCAAATCTTTTTTTTCGAGACAGAGTTTCGCTCTTGTTGCCCAGGCTGGAGTGCAATGGCACTATCTCGGCTCACCGCAACCTCTGCCTGCCAGGTTCAAGCGAATCTCCTGCCTCAGCCTCCCAGGTAGCTGGGATTATAGGCATGCTCCACCACACCCGGCTAATTTTTTTGTATTTTTAGTAGAGACGGGGTTTCTCCATGTTGGTCAGGCTGGTCTCGAACTCCGGACCCCAGCTGATCCACCCGCCTCGGCCACCCGGTGCTGGGATTAGAGGTGTAAGCCACCACGCCTGGCTGAAAAATCAAATCTTTAAAGATCAATTCTGTTACTTTCATTCAGCTATTCAACAAATATTTACTAAGTTCCTGTGATGTTCCAAATAGATAGTATGCCAGAGGCGGGGCAAGTAACTGAACAGATTATACATGGTATTCGCTCTGACAGTCTTTACATTTCCAGCTCTGTTCTTTCTCCCAAACATCCACATCACATGTCCAGTGTCTGCTTTGCACTTCCCATGTGACATCAGTGTCCTTTAACAACTCAAAATATCACCGAGACCTCTGTCTCCGTGAGACACATTTGTATATGAAACCCCATCTGCTAATGTCTAAATTTGTAGGTGTTTCCCACTCCCTGAAGATGATCATCCATTCCTTAGAGGTTAGTCCTTCTACAGGCTCTGGTTGGCATGGTAAAATCCACCAAGCAGTGGGAAGCAAACTAAAAGTCACCACGTGCAGACCAAGAGCGGACCCAGCACTTTGGGAGGCTGAGGTGGGCAGATCACCTGAGGTCAGTTATTTCCCCAGTGTCTGATATAATATATATTTAGCACCTAGTAAGAGCTTAATAAATGTTGTTTAAATAAATGAATGGAAGAAGTGAACTGCACTCTGAGCAAGGGCGATATTAGTTTACTATGTACTGGTAGTATCTTAGGGTTTTTTTTTGAGATGGAGTTCCACTCTTGTTGCCCAGGCTGGAGTGCAATGGCATGATCTCGGCTCACTGCAACCCCTGCCTTCTGGGTTCAAGTGATTCTCCTGCCTCAGCCTCCAGAGTAGCTGGGATTACAGTAGCGCCACCACACCCAGCTAATTTTGTATTTTTACTAGAGACGGGGTTTCTCCATGTTGGTCAGGCTGGTCTCGAACTCCCGACCTCAGGTGATCTGCCCACCTCGGCCTCCCAAAGTGCTGGGATTACAGATGTAAGTCACCGTGCCCAGCCTTATGTTAGTATTTTATATATGTGCTGGTACTTAGTATCTTAGTTCTTTATCTACATGCTGGTACTCAGTACTTACCATGTTAGCACATTATATTGGTGCTTTCGTTAGGACTGGGTGTCTTCTCCTTAGATTGTACATTGTCAAGTACTGATGTATTTTCTGCTGTGACTCTCGAGTTCTTGCCTAATGTAAACCAGTAGGGCAGACCTCATTTTTCTGGACTTTTTGAGACTGGTTGAGAGAGAAAAACTTCACATTCTAAGAGGAATGAAGTCTTTCAGTCCTAGGAAACCCTACCAAACCAGTCTGACATCCCCCTCATGGGGACAGCAAGTTTCTTCTGAAAAATGAGAATCAGAAAGTAACAGTTTCTGTTCAAAAGTTTGCTTTGATGTGGTTCTTTCACCTACAAGGAAGAGTGATCCACTGGTGAATTCTCACAGTTTGTGAGGTGGTTATTAGTCTTATCCTCATGTTACAGGTGAGGAAACTGAGGTACAGAAAGGTTAAGAATTTGTCAAGCTTACATAGCCAGTCAGTAGAGGAGCTGGGGTTTGAGCCTGGGCATCTCATAGAGTCTGCACTTGCCTCCCCAACTTCTGGCAGACCTCTGGACATAGATCACAGTCTAGCCAGGCTCCATAGAAACTGGAGTGCCAAGAGCCCAGGCTCCTTCCTCAGTGTGGGGAAGGGTGTCCATCTTTGTCCTTGGCCTGTCTCTCATGGCCTCTCTACCACCCTGCATGCGTCTCCTGTCCTCTCCTTATCCCTCAGCTTCCTCCATTTTTATTCCCACATAGCTGACTTGCCTTCAACGGTCAGCCTCCTTGCTCCAACCACCATACAATACAAAAGCTCCAACTTTCAGTAGGACCACAGCTAATTAGCAATTCCTCTTTGGTCTCTTAATTCAGTTTCCAAGTCAGTCATCTGATTGGTCAACTCATCGTCTGTACCTGGTCCAGCCCTGGCTTCTGCTCAGTCTATTGATGGGTCCTGTTAGCATCAGCTTCCCACTCTGAGCCAATCAGACCTGGCTCCCTGAGGCACCTACTCAAAGGACAGTTCCATTGCACTCATGGTTTATGCCACACTTGCAGAGCTTTAATTTCATGCCACCTTTTTTTGGCCTGCTTGTTACTCTCATTTCTAACTAAATAGAGGAAAAAAATTGTGTTTTCTCTTACATAAGGCCCCTGGAGGGGTCCCAGTCACCCAGGATATTTGTTAAATTGCAGCATCCCAGGCCCCATGGCAAACTAACTGCATCGGTCTGTGGGGATGGAGCTCAGGCATCTTTTCTTTCAACAAGCACCCCAGTGATTTTGACACCCAGCCTGGTCTAGAAACCACTGTCCTCAAGCACACAGGCATCCAAGGTCAGCAGGCCCTCGAGTACCTCATCAGGCCAGAAGGAGTCTCTACCCATCCTTATGTAATGTCTTCTGCTCTGATCAGCTCTGGAAGCAGGCCTCGATTTGATTCCCATCTGGACCAATTCCCAGCTTAGGCAGGGGCCATAATTTGCTAAACCCATTTCTCACTTTTAAAATGAGAATCAACCTCTTGTGATTATTAGGAGAATTTAAACTCAGTAGTATCAGCGAAAGTAACTTCTGGCTTCCTTCCCTGCCTTTTGTCCCTCCAGCCTTTGCCTGTGTAGAGAAATGTAACAAATACCTTCTTGTGTTCTTTGTAGCTATGCAGATACAATGTTTTCCCTCCTGGGAAAGAAGTTTCAGTATCTCCTGTGTGTTCTTTCTTATGATCCAACTAAACATCCAGGTAAAGTTGTTGGGTTTTTTTTTTTTCTTTTACCAGTTGCCTAGTTTCTTGATATAAATTCTATGACATGGATAAGAATTATTTTCTCCTAATTTATCTCATAGGAAGCATACTGCATATATACATGGAGATAATTCCAGTTTTGACTAATGGGAACTATAAGCATGTTTTTCTCTTCTATATTGTACATGATTTTCTTGTATTCCTTTCCCATTTTGTTTACCATTCACAATTCAGACTAGAGAAGAGCGGGGAAATGGATGATCCTGATACAGAAGAGAAATCTCATGAGTCCTATTGGGAAGAAGGAGGAATGTGGTTGGATATTGCATATCCGTATCACCCAAGTGGTAGTGATGTGTTGGACAGATGCCTTCACATACACAAGCACGGGGTGAGAAGTGAATATGGGGATGCAGAAGTTGTGCAGGAAAAACTCTAAATTATTGTCCTTTTTTAATTTCTGAAGTTTTATAATCTATCTATTGCATTCTTTTATTTGTTTTGAATCTGTTGGGGGTATGTTTTCTCCTGGACTCATTTTAATGCATTCAAACATTGAAACTTAACCTTTGTCATGGCTGGAGAAATACATAGACTTTTAATTTGTAAGAGTCACCTTTTTGATTTTCAACTGAGCTTTTTAACATGCTTGTTTTGTAAATATTTACATATGTTAGTATTTTGGTTTTTTTGTTTTGTTTTGTTTTTGAGACACAGTCTCACTCTGTGGCCCAGGCTGGAGTGCAGTGGTTTCATCTCGGCTCACTGCAACGTCCGCCTTCCGGGTTCAAGTGATTCTCCTGCCTCAGCCTCCCAAGTAGCTGGGATTACAGTGTATGCCATCACACCCAGCTAATTTCTGTATTTTTAGTAGAGACAGGATTTCACCATGTTGGCCAAGCTGGTCTGGAACTCCTGACCTCAGGTGATCCGCCCTCCTCAGCCTCCCAAAGTGCTGGGATTACAGGCGTGAGCCACCGTTCCCAGCTAGTATTTTGTTTCTGCTTGAATAAATTGGGGTCTTAAAAACTCATTAAAAGATGAGACCTAGTGTCCCTAATTAAATCAGAGACAATCAAATGGAAATAGAAATTAATAGAGGCAGAAGTTAGCTCTGCTAATCTGATTTAAATTCCATTAATGAACAGAAGCCCTAACAAAGAACCTTTGGGAAGAAAATACAGCAGGCCCTGTCTGGAGGTGGAGTCTGAGGATACTGCTCTTAGAAGGGGGCGGAAGCTCAGCTTCCTTATACTCTATATCCTGCAGCAGAGCGGGAGGGGTGTATAAAATGTGGGTGAGTGCAGGAGTTGGTAGAAAATCAGTATGCTAGAAGATGGTTGAAACCCCCAAGGAATCTGCTGATGGAATCCACTCTGATTTCAATGAGCCTAAGTCCCTTGACCGGTTTAGCTGTCTCATCTAAGCTAAAGATGGATATGATGGGGATGTAACATTGCCATCCTCTCAGTAAGTCAATTTATTTCTTTAGTATGAGATTTGCAAAAGAAGAATGAGAAGAACATGCCACATCATCACCTATTTGGATAATGAAGTTGTATGTAGAACAAGTACACCTACGTCATTGGAAATAAACTCAGAATTTATTTCTCTTTTACCTAGGTCCACCATTTTATGTTCCACATGCTGAAATTGAAAGGTTGTTTGGTAAGTTTGTGGACTTATGCTGTAACTTTTTAAACAAAGTCAAGTTAACTCTTTTGGGCCTGGCGTGCTGGCTCATGCCTGTATTTCCAGCACTTTGGGAGGCCAAGGTGGGCAGATCACCTGAGGCCAGGAGTTCGAGACCAGCCTGGCCAACATGGCGAAACCCTGTCTCTACAAAAATACAAAAATTAGGCCAGTGTGGTGGCATGTGCCTGTAGTCCCAACTATTTGAGAGGCTGAGGCATGGGAATTGCTTGAACCTGGGAGGCAGAGAGTGTAGTGAGCCAAGATTGTGCCACTGCACTCCAGCGTGGGTAACAGAGTGAGACTCCATCTAAAAAAAAAAAACCTATTGTGAACTATTAGTATATTAGTATCTAGAGTATGTCTATAAAATTTAAAAGATAAAGACCATTTTATTGAAAGTTGTTTTATCTTAGAAAAGGAACTAATCTCTGTAAATATGCTCTGTATATATGCTATATGCTCTATGTTAAAGGTATTTGAACTTTTCTAGAGAGATGGTATATTTTTTTTTATTTGTTTATTTTTGAGATAGGATCTTGATCTGTCACCCAGGCTGGAGTACAGAAGTGCAATCACAGCTCACTGCAGCCTCGACCTCCCTGGGCACAAGTGATCCTCCCACCTCAGCCTCCCAAGTTTCTGGGACCAGAGGCATGCACCACAATGCTTAGCTAATTTTTCTATTTTTTTGTAGAGATGGGGTTTAACCACATTGCCCAGGCTGGTCTCGAACTCCTGGGCTCAAGTGATCCTCTTGTCTTGGCCTCCCAAAGTACTGGGATTAGAGGCATGAGCCGCCATGCCCAGTGGTGTATTTATTTTTACTCTTGGGAGTTAAAAGTGATAATAACAATTCAGAGTTCAGGAAATTTGCCCTTAGCATTCCTCTGTTTTGATTAAAAAGAAGAGAAAAATGTTTAGTGTACACTGTTTTTAAAATAATTTCAAGGTTTTGTTTGTTTGTTTTGAGATGGAGTTTCGCTCTTGTTGCCTAGGCTAGAGCGCGATGGTGCAATCTCAGCTCACTGCAACCTCCATCTCCCGGGTTCAAGCGATTCTCCTGCCTCAACCTCCCAAGTAGCTGGGATTACAGGCATGTGCCACCATACCCAGCTCATTTTGTATTTTTAGTAGAGACAGAGTTTCACCATCTTGGCCAGGCTGGTCATGAACTCCTGACCTCAAGTGATCCACCTGCCTCGGCCTCCCAAAGTGTTGGGATTACAGGTGTGAGCCACCGCACCCAGCCAATTTTGAGTATTTTTAAAAGAATCCCTGATGTCATTCTTCATAGTATTTTAACATGTTACTCTTTCTTGTTTCAGGTAAAATATGCAATATACGTTGTCTTGAGAAGGTTGATGCTTTTGAAGAACGACATAAAAGTTGGGGAATTGACTGTCTTTTTGAAAAGTTATATCTACTTACAGAAAAGTAAATGAGACATAGATAAAATAAAATCACACTGACATGTTTTTGAGGAATTGAAAATTATGCTAAAGCCTGAAAATGTAATGGATGAATTTTTAAAATTGTTTATAAATCATATGATAGATCTTTACTAAAAATGGCTTTTTAGTAAAGCCATTTACTTTTTCTAAAAAAGTTTTAGAAGAAAAAGATGTAACTAAACTTTTAAAGTAGCTCCTTTGGAGAGGAGATTATGATGTGAAAGATTATGCCTATGTGTCTTGCAGATTGCAAGATATTTTACCAATCAGCATGTGTTACCTGTACAATTAAAAAAATATTTCAAAATGCAATGCATATTAAATATAATACACACAGAAAAACTGGCATTTATTTTGTTTTATTTTTTTGAGATGGAGTTTCGTTCTTGTTGCCCAACCTGGAGTGCAATGGTGCAATCTCAGCTCACTGCAACCTCTGCCTCCCAGGTTCAGGTGATTCTCCTGCCTCAGCCTCCTGAGTAGCTGGGATTACAGGTGTGCGCCACCACGCCCAGCTAATTTTTTGTATTTTTAGTAGAGACAGGGTTTCACCATGTTGGTCAGGCTGATCTCGAGCTCCTGACCTCAGGTGATCTACCCACCTCGGCCTCCCAAAGTGCTGGGATTACAGGCGTGAGCCACTGCACCTGGCCTGACATTCTTTATGAAATTTAGAATTGTTGAAGAACTATAACATTTCAGTAGGGTTCAAGGTGGTCCCAAAAGTTATATAAAAGATTAGTTTTTACTATAAACCCTTGTCTTTTACTCAGATCCTAGCATCCCTTTTCACATGGTTTCTCCATGTATATAACAGAATCAAGAAACAAATTTTAATTAAACAATCTGTAACAGAATCAAGAAACAAATACATTTTAATTAAACAATCTATATGGAACAAACATTCCCAAATTCTAAGAATAAATTTTTCTTTAAGTTTTCTCTGAGTTTGGCAATTGTTGTTTTTTATAATTTAATCTGTTTAAATCATCAGGTCTTATAAAATATAATGTACTTAGAGCTGGATTCATGGCTGTTTATTATGAAAGGTTAGATTTCTCAGTTCTTCTTTAACCACATTTTGTTATATCAGACAGTCCTCTATAACTCTGTACTACCCAACAACTAAATGGTTTAGATTGTTTAGCTCATGTTAATAGGATGGTTGTGTATTATAAAAAACGAGTTACGTGTGTGTGTGCACGCATGCACGCACATGTGCTGGCTTAAAGGTTGTTAATGCAAGGTTTGGGGTCCCCTTTAACACTGGTGAAAGCTACGGTACTCTCCCCAGAGATATGTCTTGTCAGCCTCTCTAGTTCCCCTTGGCCTGCATGTACAAACTTCTACCCTAGAAGCTCTCTGCCATCGATGTATTCTAATAGATTTGTAAGGCTATTAATTTGAAGCAACTCCTTGCTCACAGTGATTCTTGCTTCTCTGAGACCTGCTCCCAGTCGATACTGTGGGCTTCAGAAGCCATGACTCCCCAACTCTGCCTGTATCACCGGTTGAATGGACAACTAACCCGAGCTGGACCAACACAATTCTCTCCAGAGACTTTTGATTTTACTTTTATGTAGAGACAGGGTCTCACTTTGTTGCCCACGCTGATGTTGAACTTGACGTGAGGCCTCAAGCAGTCCTCCTGTCTTGGCCACCCAAAGTGCTAGGATTACAGGTATGAGCCATTGCGCTGGCCCTCTTCATAGGCTTTTGGACTTGGGAATAGAAAAGCAACCCCGTCTCTACTAAAAATACAAAAAAATTAGCCAGGCGTGGTGGCACGTGCCTGTAATCCCAGCTACTTGGGAGGCTGAGGCAGGAGAATCACTTGAACCTAGGAGGCGGAGGTTGCAGTGAGCTGAGATCATGCCACTGCACGCAAGCCTGGGCAACAGAGCAAGACTCTGTCTCAAAAGAAAGAAAAAGAAAAGAAAAAAAAGAAAGGCAAGTTGACTGCTGAAAGGGGAATCTGTGTACGCCTGGGAGCTGTGGGGCAGCCACATTCCAGCACATGGATCTGAGAAACAGAACGCTGATCTGCAGAAAGAGATGAGAACCAAAGAGAGGCCACCTGCGTCCTGGGTCCATTTTCATCCTCCCTGAAGCCCAGCTGCCCAGGGTGGGGAGAAACACCCTGTGTCCATGGGATAGAGTCCTTTCCGCTTGCAGTTGTGCCCAAAGAATCTTAAATACAAATGAGATATCCTTAGGTAGTTGATCATTTATGTAATATGTGTCTTCACTGGGGAATACTGACTTCCTAAAATCTCAAGATGGAAGATATACCACATGTAAATTATTTTAGAGCAATTAAATTGTTTTCAGGATTTTCCAAAAATGCTTCTTGTTTCATTTTATTATTTAAGTAACAGATTATCTGAGCCTCTGTGCCCTGCACACAGTGGTTTATAAATGCCTTGCCCTGCCTATGAAGCAGGCATGAATGCTCCAGTATAGACAGTGTTATCACTAGCAGACAGGACAAAGTAAGAAAGGTACGTAATAATTAATCTATTTGGGTGAATGTGGAAAGAAAAATACAAAGAAATATAACCAAAGCTTAAACAGCTATCACTGGGAAGTCAGAGATTTGGCTCCATAAAGAATGGTTTAGGGACCACAGAAGGTGGCCCAAAAGATGTACCTATGAGAGAGCTCCCAGCTGACGGGATTCATTGGCAGCATGAAGTGACAAATACAAATCTAAGCCATGGAGATATTAGTTCAAGCAATTTACCAAGTCGCAACTGTAGTACATACCTGTCATTGTTTTATTTTAATACAAGGGAGCAATTTCAATGTGTGTTTGTGTATACATGTATATGTTTATGTCGCACCTACTCCTTATTTTTTTTTTTTATTTTGAGACAGGGTCTCACTCTGTCGCCCAGGCTGGAGTACGGTGGTGTGATTATAGCTCACTGCGGCCTCAATTTCCTAGGCTTAAGCAATCCTTCTGCCTCAGCCTCCTGAGTAGACAGGACTGCAGGTGTGTGCCACCACACCCAGCTAATTTTTTTTTTTATTTTTAGTAGAGACAAGGTCTCACTATGTTGCCCAGCACGATCTCAAACTCCTGGCCTCAAGTGATCCCCCCACCTCAGCCTCCCAAAGAGCTGCTCAGCCTACACCTACTCTTTCTGAAAGGTGTTTCAGAGAAAGATTTCTACTGAGTGCTTTTTAAAAAATCAGTTATTGGCCGGGCACAGTGGCTCATGCCTGTAACCCCAGCACTCTGGGAGGCCGAGGTGGGCGGATCACCTGAGGTCGGGCATTCGAGACCAGCCTGGCCAACACGGTGAAACCCTGTCTTTACTAAAAATACAAAAAATTAGCCGGGCATGGTTGGCACATGTCTGTAATCCCAGCTACTCGGGAGGCTGAGTCAGGAGAATTGCTTGAACCCAGGAGGTGGAGGTTGTGGTGAGCCGAGATCAAGCCATTGCACTCCAGCCTGGGCAACGAGCAAAACTGTCTCAAAACAAAAACAACAACAACAAAATTAAAATTAAAAATTATCATCTTTAATCCCTACAGCTCTGACTTTCCAATCACTTCTTATGTGATGTGCTTTTTGCCTTATAAAACATTATATGACAAATTCACCAGTGGCTGGTGGGAATTGGACAGAATTCTATTTATGTGCCTTAAGCATAGTCATTCCGATTTGCAGAAAATAGTCATGTCCCAGATTTATTACTTATGTGTAGCTGTAATTTGTGAGCTGAAAATATGCTTGAAAATCTGTGATTCCTGAACAGTGGGTATTAATAGAAATTTATTTCACTATTGGTGTTAACTTTCGACAACAGGAGGATAATCGAGGCAGATATTTAGAAATGAAATATATCATAAAATATTAAGTTATTTATATTTAAATATGACAAATAATCCTTTATGCATTGAAAATTTGGGAAGTCTAAAAAGAAAAAGAAAAGCAATCAAGTCCTATCACTGGAGATAATTACTGCTATGATGGTGATGTATTTTCTTCTCATCTTTTTTGTCTGCTCATACATGTGAATGTTTTCACAAGGTTGTTGTGATCACATTACGATACAGTATTGTATCTCCACTATCTTTCTTTCTATTTCATTCACCCTTCCTGGAGTTGAGGCAGGAGAATAGGGTCTTGAGGCAGGGAACCTAAGGCTGATTCATGCTGACTTCCTAGAACTAAATTGAAAGGAAAACCTCAACTTTCCATGCCTAAGTAACAAAAGGACCAGAGGCTACTCCCTTTGTAACCTCCACCACCCCACCGCCCCTAGCCTTTTCTGCGTGGCAGAAACATCTGCAACCAATCAAACGTTTGCATAGGAGTGTAACTTTTGTAACTTCACTTCGGCCTCTCATTGGTTGCAGCAAGCAAAAGCAACCAATCAGACTGATTGCGGGCCACTACTTTATTTGCATGGGATGAATACCAAGTGGCCAGTGGGAAACCTCTAGGCAGTATTTGGACCCCAGAAGATTCTGTAACCAGGGCCCTTGAGCCACTGCTCAGCCAGGTCCCACCCTGTGGAGCACTTTCATTTTCAATAAATCTCTGCTTTTGTTACTTCATTCTTTCTCTGCTTTGCTGTGCATTTTGTCCAATTCTTTGTTCAAAAAGCCAAGAACCTGGACAACTTGTAGTCAAACCTTCTACTGGTAACAGTGTCACTAAATATTTTTCAAAAGCAAGATTTTTAAATAGCTGTATAATGTTGTAATGTGGCAGTACAATTATTATTTAGTCTTTCTCCTGCTATTAGAGTCAGCATTCATTCAGCAATTTAAGTACTATTGGGTGTGCTAGCAGATAAAGGTTTATTGATTATTGAAGATAATCCTTTTCTCAGGCATCACAGGTTGTAGGGGTAGGGACTGAACATTGAACTTCATATGGTATGGCTGTCTTAGGGGTACAGGCAGGGAGCTGTCAGCTTATAACTGGTCATTTAAACCACGAGGAAGTGAAGATGGCATTGCTCAGGGAAACAGGTAGGAAGCTAAGAGAAAAAGACTGAAGGTGGCACCCTGAGGAACACTCAATTGCATTGAACTTGAGATGCACTCAAATCTCTAGATCCCCATTTCCAAACATACATCTCCACTCATTTTTGTATGGACTTACTCAAAAAATTCAAAAACAGCCATTCTTCCTCTTGCCACCACATCCCTCACCCCTGAGATGCCAAGAACATGGAGCTTAAAAATTAGAGTGGTGGTCAGAGACGCCCCTGGGAGGAGGGCAAGGCTGGAAGCAAAGCCCATTCTGTGTGGCTTGTTCATCTTCCTTTCCCTTACATCATTGTCAGGTAGTCTGAGTTGTAATTGGATCATTAAACTTGTTCTGGGATTCCTTCTAAACTGCATGTGTCTGGCACATTTGCCCCACCTGCACAACCAGGAGCCCACCTGTCTAAGCACTGACTCCCCCTAACTCATGCTCCCCCTGTGCTCTCTTCTCTGCTGGAACCATCCTGAGCTGGGTCCCCACTCTCCTTCCACTATAGTATGGTACTTTTTCATAGGGCAGCCATTGACCACTTTGGAAACTAGACGTTCTGCTCTTCAAGCCCTTTGCCCCCACAACTCTCAGGGCTTGTTCTAGGTGGAAGCAGGAAAAGATGGGCATGCTAGTCCAGGACCCTCTATAGAAGGAATATCGGAGGGAAGCACAGGGTAAATCCATGGAGGCCCAGCCATGGAGGAGGAAATGATAGTCATAGGAAATGCCAAATGTCAGAGTGAGATTCAAGACATATTTGTTATTAATCAATTATGCAATGGTGTGATTGCATAAATAATGTGATTTTAGTTGGTTGTTTATTTGGGATGGAAATGTAGTCAGAAATTATTAAGTTGGTTATTGTGTCCCAGTACGCAATCTTTGAGTCAAATGACATTTGATTAGAAAATGTTCTTTCTTGTCTTACATTAAAGCTCTTTCCAGGGGCCTCAACAGGGGATAAAATATTGTGTTTTCTCAGAAATCTAGCAAATCAGAAGGTGAATGTTCATGATTATGATCTCTAAAGGAAAAGAAATTCTCTAATACAAGGTTTTGTTAAGCACAATGTTCACATAAGACATTTGAGGGAGAACCCCTTAAAAATAAGAGTTTAGGGCCAGGCACGGTGGCTCATGCCTGTAATCCTAGCACTTTGGGAGGCTGACGCGAAAGGTCAGAAGTTTGAGACCAGCCTGGCCAACATGGTGAAACCTCATCTCTACTAAAAATACAAAACTTAGCCAGGCATGGTCACGGGTGCCTGTAATCCCAGCTACTCAGGAGGCTGAGGTGGGAGAACCGCCTGAACCCAGGAGGTGGAGGCTGCAGTGAGCCGAGATCGCGCCACTGCACTCCAGCCTGGTGACAGAGCAAGACTCTGTCTCAAAAAGAAAAAAAAAAAAAAGAAAGAAAAAGAAAAATGAGAGATTATAATACCACAATGGATTCTTCACACAGATTATGCTATCCCTTGTTTGAAGATTTTCCAACATATGGCAAATTCTCTTTGTTTTTGGTCTTAACTGAGATTGGAAAAACTGAACTTAGTGTCATTTGAGGGAATTATTATAATGCAGTGTTTCTCAAACTTGGCTGTACATTATAATCACCTGGGGAGCTTTTATAAATCCCAGCTGTCCAGACCACACCATGGGCCAATTAAACTTTTCGGGTGCGACCCAGGTGTTTACCATGTGCAAAGAAGTTTGAAAATGACTAAAATAGGTAACTCTGAAGTCAAACTGCCTGGCTTCAAATTCCAGGCCAGCCACTTCCTAGCCATGTGACCCTGGGCAAGATATTTGATTTCTATGAATTCTATCAGAAAAAAAGACAATAAAAATAACATATTTTTGTAGGATTGCTATGAGGTTTAAACAAGATAATCTATGTAAATTATTTATTAATTTGCTGCAAAAGTAATCACGGTTTTGCCATTAAAAGTGATGGCAAACACTGCGAATCCTTTTCACCAACCTAACACAATGGGGCAGGCATATGTGAATTCCATAGGCTGGGCACAGTGGCTCACACCAGCACTTTGGGAGGCCAAGGGGTGGGGAGGAATGTGAACAATTTTCACAAGTTCAAGACCAGCCTAGGCAACATAGTGAGACCTCCTCTCTACAAAAAAATTAAAAAATTAGCCTAGTGTGATGGTGCATGCCTGTAGTCCCAGCTACTGAAGTGGGAGGATTGCTTGAGCCTGGGAGATGGAGGCTGCAGTGAGCTGTGATCGTGCCCCTGCACTCCAGCCTGGGTGACAGAGTGAGACTTTGTCTTAAAAAACAAAAAAATGAAGTTCTATGGTAATTATTATTAACTAACAGCTTTCTTATTTCATATTAATTACTCTGCAAGACACTTCCAGCATGGTTGCCCCATCTGACACTCATTCACCTCGTTGATTTTTTTTTGTTGTTGTTGTTGTTCTATAACATTCATTCATGCACAAATTCATTTTACAAGTATGTATTCATCTAACATTGACTTAACTATGAGTATGACAGAAGACACAAAAGAAATGTACACATCTGCCTCACCTCCCTTGGAGTTTATCTTCTCTAGTGTGTTCGTGTTTTCCGGTTCAGATCATAAGCATCATGAGCTAAGGGACCATGTTTTATGCCCGGACAGCCGTAGCACCCGGCGCTGCGGATTGGAGACACTGCTAGGCACCCGGGCTGGAAGATTGGGTTCTAGTTCTTGTTTTGCCGCTTACAGGCTGGGTGACAGGGAGCAATCCTGTTGTCCTCAATAGGTGTGTTTCCTCATCTGAAAGTGTACACAATCCATCCATGACTGCTGTGACGATTACAGGTCTACACAACGCGCATGTGGATTTGTCTTGCAAACGTCCACCATCAGGCCCTCAGGAAACAGTGCCGCGCGTGCCCACCAAGGGGCAGCAGATCGCAGTGCAGAGGCCCGCGGCGCTCGACGTCAGGGCGCACGTCCCACCCCGTGACCATGACTGTGACCGTGACCGAGAGCGTCGCTGGGGCACGGCCAGGCGGCGCGGCGGGAGTGCACAGGACGCGCCATGGCGGCCGAAGCCTCGGAGAGCGGGCCAGCGCTGCATGAGCTCATGCGCGAGGCGGAGATCAGCCTGCTCGAGTGCAAGGTGTGCTTTGAGAAGTTTGGCCACCGGCAGCAGCGGCGCCCGCGCAACCTGTCCTGCGGCCACGTGGTCTGCCTGGCCTGCGTGGCCGCCCTGGCGCACCCGCGCACTCTGGCCCTCGAGTGCCCATTCTGCAGGCGAGCTTGCCGGGGCTGCGACACCAGCGACTGCCTGCCGGTGCTGCACCTCATAGAGCTCCTGGGCTCAGCGCTTCGCCAGTCCCCGGCCGCCCATCGCGCCGCCCCCAGCGCCCCCGGAGCCCTCACCTGCCACCACACCTTCGGCGGCTGGGGGACCCTGGTCAACCCCACCGGACTGGCGCTTTGTCCCAAGACGGGGCGTGTCGTGGTGGTGCACGACGGCAGGAGGCGTGTCAAGATTTTTGACTCAGGGGGAGGATGCGCGCATCAGTTTGGAGAGAAGGGGGACGCTGCCCAAGACATTAGGTACCCTGTGGATGTCACCATCACCAACGACTGCCATGTGGTTGTCACTGACGCCGGCGATCGCTCCATCAAAGTGTTTGATTTTTTTGGCCAGATCAAGCTTGTCATTGGAGGCCAATTCTCCTTACCTTGGGGTGTGGAGACCACCCCTCAGAATGGGATTGTGGTAACTGATGCGGAGGCAGGGTCCCTGCACCTCCTGGACGTCGACTTCGCGGAAGGGGTCCTTCGGAGAACTGAAAGGTTGCAAGCTCATCTGTGCAATCCCCGAGGGGTGGCAGTGTCTTGGCTCACCGGGGCCATTGCGGTCCTGGAGCACCCCCTGGCCCTGGGGACTGGGGTTTGCAGCACCAGGGTGAAAGTGTTTAGCTCAAGTATGCAGCTTGTCGGCCAAGTGGATACCTTTGGGCTGAGCCTCTACTTTCCCTCCAAAATAACTGCCTCCGCTGTGACCTTTGATCACCAGGGAAATGTGATTGTTGCAGATACATCTGGTCCAGCTATCCTTTGCTTAGGAAAACCTGAGGAGTTTCCAGTACCGAAGCCCATGGTCACTCATGGTCTTTCGCATCCTGTGGCTCTTACCTTCACCAAGGAGAATTCTCTTCTTGTGCTGGACACAGCATCTCATTCTATAAAAGTCTATAAAGTTGACTGGGGGTGATGGGCTGGGGTGGGTCCCTGGAATCAGAAGCACTAGTGCTGCCATTAATGAATTGTTTAACCCTGGATAAGTCACTTAAACTCATCTATCCAGGCAGGGATAATTAAAACCATCTGGCAGACTTACAAAGCTTGGGACAGTTATTGGAGATTAATCTACCATTTATTGAATGCATACTCTGTGCAAGGAAATTTGCAAATATTAGCTTATTTAATCTGTACTATCCAGTGAGGTAATTTCTTCCCCCCCAAGATAGAGTCAAGCTCTGTCACCCAGGCTGGAGTGCAGAAGCATGATCACAGCTCACTACAGTTTCAACGTCCCCCGCTCAGGTGGTCCTTCCACCTCAGCCTCCCAAGTAGCTGGGACCACAAGTGTGCATTACCACACTCAGCTAATTTTTGTATTTTGGCAGAGATGGGGTTTCACCATGTTGCCCAGGCTGGTCTCAAACTCCTGAGTTCAAGCAATCCACCTTCCTCGGCCTCCCAAAGTACTAGGAGTACAGGCATAGCCACTTGCTCAGCCATAATTTTTATTATTAATCTCATTGTACAAGTGAGAAAACTGAGACCCAGAGAGCTTAAGTGACTTCCTCGAGGTCATAGTTACTTACTGCCTTAGTCCCAATTTGAATTCAATTCTGATTCCAAATAAGTTGCGCTTAAATAAGACAACAGATGTGGGAAAAATATGTGAATGTGTAGTGTTGCTATGTGTACTGTCTTTACAAGTAGCTAATTATTTTAGCACAAAGATGTGCAAAGAAAGGAGACTTTATGGAGAGTTCAGGAGAAAAAGGATTTTGTGGTGGCCATCACTTTCATTCAATTTGCGACTGCTCTGATGGCACATTAGATGAAGTTACTGTTGATCCTGAGTTACGTGAATAAGAAAAACAATTGAACTGCTTATTAAAAAAGTAAACATGTCTTTTAACGCCTATATCTTCTCCACTATACAAACTCAGAAAATACCACTTGGTTGTTTGAGAAAGGCCTATATTTGTGTAAGTTCTAAACTATTGCAGAACACACTACATACTAGCGTCAAAGGGCTGATGACGCTCCTGTTACATGTTTATGGGGTTTTTTCGTTTGTTTGTTTGCTTTTAGACATGGTCTTGCTCTGTTGCCCAGGCTGGAGTGCAGTGGATTGATCACTGCTCACTGCAGCCTCGACTCCCTGGGCTCAAGCGATCCTCCTGCGTCAGCATCCTGAGTAGCTGGGACTACAGGTGTGTCACCATGCCCAGCTAATTTTTAAATTTTTCGTAGGGATGGGATCTTGTTTTTGTTGCCCAAACTGGTTTCAAGCTCCTGGGCTCAAGAGAGCCTCCTGCCTTGGCCTCCCAAAGCATTGGGACTATAGGTATGAGCCACTGTGCCTCGCCCACGTAAAGTAAAAGCGAGAGCCTAACTCCCATGCCAGTCCACAAAAACCCATTTTCTTGTCAATGCTCTCATCATATAGCACTAATAGTAAGATTTGGGGCACCCTAGACCACGATTTATAAATGCATTTTAAAAAGAAGTTCTATGGACAAACCTCTTCTCCCCACATGCACACACTCCACCCTTAAAGTCACCCCTAGGCTGGTAACTTCACGGGTATTCTGAAAACATAACAAGAAACGTTGTTGCAGGTGGAGATACGAATTCAGACTTATTTGGTCATTTGTGAGTACAGCAACTGAGGATAGATCTTAGACCATTTTCCTTAGGAACAATGACATTTTAATGATTTTAGAATTAGTAGAGCCAATTCAAAAGATTTTTCTCTTTGGAATTATTAATGGCATCATCTCTGACTATAAAGCTGGACATGTGTCCTTTACAGACAGCAGTCATGATAGAGGTGTGGAATATGCAACACAGGGAGGTATGTGAGCAAGGTAGTATTGCTGGTCATCGTGTGGATTACCCAACGTCAAGAATCAGGTGCGCATCTGTGAGATGATGAGGGAGTGTATCAGACCTGTGATAACAAGCCACCTTAGTAACTGCTATCTTTCCGTGGTAGATTATCAGGCTTGGGACTGGGGTGGGGCTGGATACACAACATAAAAAGAACTGTATAAAGCAGCTCTTCCCAGGAATGTCATAAGACAGGAGCAGAGTTTCCTTGAGGAAGACATGAAGCTTGCTGTTCTTGATTCTCAAGCACACATGCGCTGAGGGAATAGTTTCAATGACCTGTAAGGCAGATGCAAAATTCATCTTCCGGACTGTGTTCTTTTTTTTTTTTTTTTTTTTTTTTTTTTTGAGACCGAGTCTGGCTCTGTTGCTCAGGTTGCAGTACAATGGTGTGATCTCAGCTCACTGCAACCTCCACCTCCCGGGTTCAAGCTATTCTCCTGCTTCAGCCTCCGCATTAGCTGGGATTACAGGCGCCCACCACCACGCCCAGCTAATTTTTGTATTTTTAGTAGAGACGAAGTTTCACCATGTTGGCCAGACTGGTCTCGAACTCCTGACCTCAAGTGATCCACCTACATCGGCCTCCCAAAGTATTGGGATTACAGACATGAGCCACTGTGCCCAGACAGACTGTTCTTTAAAGCAAGCTGGTTAAAAGGCTTGAGATATGTCATGCTGAACTCCAGGTTATTAAAGAAATTGGAGAATTCTGAGACAGGCAGGAAAAAATAACCCCAGCAGAAAGTAAAAGCTTCCAAGTTGATGAAGAAGGGTTGGAATGACTCTCAGAGGTTGAAACAAAAGAACCTGCCCAGGAGTAAAGGGAGAAGGAGAAGGAAATAGGCTCTTCCAGAATATCCCCCATGCCCTGCCTGGTGAGTCCATAAAAGCAAACACAGACACTTTGGCTCCTGTGTCAGCAGTTCTCACGTCACCCTCCATCTGTTCCAATTTTGCCCAATTCCCGATCCTTGGACTGTCTCCTGCTTTTGACCTTGTTCTGCCTTCTGGACTTGCCGCCTGGACTTGGCTTTCTCAATCTCTTTCCTTGGCATTTTGTAAAAAACTTGGTTCACACTCATAAATCTCCCCTCTACCAAATCTAGCTCTGGACCCCAGGACCCAAACCATCACCATTTTGCTAGTGCTTTATGCAGAAGATATCTTCCCTGGCCCCCGACTAAGTGGGGTGCAGACCCCACCTGAAGTGAATTATGAACCTTCTGAGGAAGAAGCATTAACCTGTGCACCTCAGAAAAATGAGGAAGAACCACTGATGATAGCAAATTTAATAATCCTTACACCTGCCTTATTAAGAAGAAATATATACTGGCGTTAGTGTTCCACTATAGAGATATGCTATGGTGGTGTATCATGGCTAGTCAGGAGATGAACTGTTTTCTTGGAGAATGTGTAGCAAATATGATAGGGTGGCCAGAGACTCACCACAACTACTGTACTGAATAACCATGGTGTCTTCTGTGCCCACAGCCACTTCTAAGAAAAACTGTCCCATCATAAGCCAGCCGTCAGCAGCCAGGTTTTCTATTACATGATCCCCTCGGACCATAGCTACTTAGATAGGGGTGCACACCTAACAGAAGGACACTCAATCAACCAATGATGCTCCACCAGATGTATTAATTAGACCAGGAAACTGGCTTCCTTTCAAGGAGCACAGAGATCCAATTACATTCTGGTCCTTGATTTTTTTTTTTTTTTTTAGATGGAGTTTTGCTCTTGTTGCCCAGGCTGGAGTACAATGGCGTGATCTCGGCTCACTGCAACCTCCGCCTCCCAGGTTCAAGTGATTCTCCTGCCTTAGCCTCTGAGTAGCTGGGATTACAGGGCATGTACCACCACGCCTGGCTAATTTTGTATTTTTAGTAGAGACAAGTTTTCTCCATGTTGATCAGGCTGGTCTTGAACTCCCGATCTCAGGTGATCTGCCCGCCTCGGCCCCCCAAAATGATGGGATTACAACCATGAGCCACCGCGCCCAGCCATCCTTGATATTTTGAATTGAGAAATACGGAGCATGTTAAGCTGATGGCAGCCTGGGGAATGCCAGAAATATGCTCAGTTACAGGGTTGCAGAGAGTCCTTGTGGGCAAGCCACATCACGAATGACAAGCTATGAGGCAAAGGGAACACAAAACTCACGGGAATCCAGGTAAGAATGAGAGGAAGAAATGCATCCAGAAAAGCAGTGGCTTGGAGCCATGTTACCTCCAGGGCACCAGCATGATGATCCCTACTGCAAGATCCCTGGAGCTGCCCTGACTCCACTTTGCCTCTCTGCAAGGCCCAGCTGCCTATGGTTTCTATTCTTGGAGTCCTAACAACTCTCTCCTATCCCATGAGAATTCTTATACTAAATGTTCCACTGCTTCAGCTAACCTGCACAAATCTCTGTGGTTTTTTTTGTTTCTTTTTTTGCAACAGAAAGTTTGGTCAGGCATGGTGGCTCACACCTGTAATCCCAGCACTCTGGGAGGCTGAGGTGGGTGGATCACCTGAGGTCAGGAGTTCGAGACCAGCCTGACCTACATGGTGAAACCCCGTCTCTACTAAAAATAAAAAAAATTAGCATGGTAGCAGGCACCTGTAATCTCAGCTACTCGGGAGGCTGAGGCAGGAGAATCGCTTGAACCTGGGAGGTGAAGTTTGCAGTGAGCCGAGATGGCGCCACTGCACTCCAGCCTGGGTGACACAGCGAGACTCCATCTCAAAAAAAAAGAGTCGTAATATTTTGATGATTGGTTTGGAGAAAATTGGTCTTAAATATACGGATTTTGATGCCATGAGTAGGAAACAAATTCTGTGGGGAGGAACACTCTCCCATTAACTCATCAATCCCTAATACCGGTAGGGTATGAGACCAAAGAACAAGTAGAGGCTTACATACCACAGGTCTAAATATTTAAGACTTATAAATCAAGCCAACAAACTTAAATAAAATACATTTGATCCTCCTACCTTGACAAAGGTAAATGTAAATATTAAAAATATACCCTTTTTTTTGGCCAAGATTGGTGGTACACGCCTGTAATCCCAGCACTTTGGGAAGCCGAGGCAGGAGGATTGCTTGAGCTCAGGAGTTCCAGACCAGCCTGGGCAACATGGTGAAATCCCATCTCTATTTAAATATTTATAAAAAATTATATATAGATAGATATTTTTTAAGAGGCAAGGTTTCACTCTGTCACCCAGGCTGGAGTGCATGGTGTGATCATAACTCACTGCAGCCTCGACCCCTGGGCTCAAGCCATCCTCCCTCCTCAGCCTCCCAGTAGCTAGGGCTGTAAGTACATACCACCACACTGGGCAAATTTTTAATTTTTTTTTATGGAGTCTCACTATGTTTCCCAGGCTGGTCTCAAACTCCTGGGCTCAAGTGGTCCTCCATCCTTGGCCTCCCAAAATAAGCTACCATGCTCACCCTACAAATATACTTTCATTATGATCTGGAAGGCCAGGTTTCAGTTTAGAATAGTTGAATGGAATTTTTGCTCGATTTTGGGATGCGACATTTTAAGAAAGATCATGACGACCTGGAGCATGTTTAAAAGATATGAAGAAGAATCAAAAGCAAAAGCATCGGGGTTTTTTGTTTTTGTTTTTGTTTTGCTTTGTTTTTGTCAGCTTCTAGCTATCTAGAATGTAAACTCCATGAAAGATGTTTGTGTTGTTCCTAAGTGTATCCCTAGTGTCTAGAGCGGTGTTTGACACATTGTAGGCGTTCAAAAATATTTGCTGAATTAACGTGTTTTTCCCAAGGAATTTTTCTAGACTATGTATTTCTTTCATTGATAAAAGGGAAGTGGTATAGGTAGCTGGGTAGCTTGGAGAAGCTGGTCTAGAATTAAAGTGGTTTGTGGTGGGTTTGTGGAGTGACTCAAAGAGTTACAAAGGATTATGGTGACTTTGTGGTAGTCTGGGTTGAAATTGCATGAAAAACTTCATGTTCTCAACCACCACATTTTCCATTTTCACCTAAGTACATGGGACTTTGCGGTATTAAGGTTGCCTGGTCTTCATGAGTCACATCCTTTGTCAAATGATGAAGAGTGGAGAAAACACTGATCTGCAAGCTCTCCAATATCAGGTGATATCAGTGATGCCAACTCCATCTGGAGGGAAGAGAATGAACTAAAAGTGTTCCTGGATCACTCACCTGATGGTGTGCTTGGAGTGTTGTCAAACTCATCTTTGGGTTAAATCTGGTCAATAATGGGTGCATAAAGAAGCTTCTGCCTTTCCCAGGAGCCATCTATACAGCATGCACAGCCCAACCACAGACATTTGTTCACTAATAGGCTGCAAATTATAATATACAGTATACCCATTATGGAAATTAAAAAGCAGTTCATATTTTTTCTGCAAAAATAATGATATTATTTATAGGAGCTTAATTTCCTGACAAAGGACTTTGGTCAAATCAATCACTGGCTTCACTAACAATGTCATAAAAGTACCTACACTGCAAATCTGAAATTACTTATAAAATGATCAGATAAAATTGTGTGTCAAGCCGTAGAGTTTTAGGACTGAAAAGAAACTTAGACATATTTTTATTATGATGCCCTCAAATGACAACCGAAGCCTACGTATGTAAAAAGACTAGTCTAGGTCACACAGGTAGTTAAGAGCAGAACCAGGACTAGAAAAATGGACCTTTCCATATTCCAAATTAACCTCTCTAGTGGGAAAAGATCTAAAAGCCAGAGGCTTGGAATAAACACACATACACACACACAGACACACACACACACACACACACACACGCTGACGCTTGATATTTTACTTGCCCCCCACATCCCAACTAGTCCCCCCTACTACCCTTCCCAGCCTCTTATGACCATCTTTCTGTTCTCTATCTTCATGAGTTCAATTTTTAAAGTTTTTAGCTCCCACAGGTACGTGAGAATATGCAATGTTTGACTTTTGTGCCTAGCTTATTTCAGTTAACATAGTGATCTCCAGTTCCATCCATGTTATTGCAAATGACAGGATCTCATTCTTTTTTATGGCTGAATGGTACTCCATTGTGAATATGTACCACATTGTCTTTATCCATTCATCTGTAGACAGACACTTAGGTTCCTTCCAAATTTTAGCTATTATGTATAGTGCTGCAATAGACACGAGAGTGCAGATATCTCTTTGATATACTGATTTCCGTTTTGGGGTGTATATACCTAGGAGTGGGATTGCTGGATGGTATGGTAGCTCTATTTTTAGTTTTCTTATTTATTATTATTTTTTGAGATGGAGTCTGGCTCTGTTGCCCAGGCTGGAATGCCGTGGTGCGATCTCAGCTTATCGCAACCTCTGCCTCCCAGGTTCAAGCAATTCTTCTACCTCAGCCTCCCTAGTATCTGGGATTACAGGCATGCACCAGCGTGCCTGGCTAATTTTTGTATTTTTAGTAGAGATGGGGTTTCACCATATTGATCAGGCTGGTCTCAAACTCCTGACCTCGTGATCTGCCTGCCTCAGCCTCCCAAAGTGTTGGAATTACAGGCGTGAGCCACTGCACCCGGGCCCTTTCTTTAGTTTTCTAAGGAAGCTCCAAACTGTTCTCCATAGCAGTTGCACTAATTTACCTTCCCACCAACACTGCATGAGGGTTCCTTTTTCTCTACATCCTCTCCAGCCGTTTTAACTGGGGCGAGATGATCTCTTATTGTAGTTTTGATTTGCATTTCTCTGATGATCAATGATATTGAGCACCTTTTCACATACCTGTTTGCCATTTGTATATCTTCTTTTGAGAAATCAGATCTTCTGCCTATTTTCAGATCTTTTGCCCATTTTTAGATCAGATTATTAGATTGTTTTTCCTGTGGAGTTGTTTGAGCTCCTTATATATTCTGGTTGTTAATCCTTTGTCAGATGAGAAGTTTGCAAATATTTTCCTTCATTCTGTGGGTCGTCTCTTCACTTCGTTGATTGTTTCCTTTGCTGGGCAAAAGCTTTCTAACTTGATGTGATCCCATTTGTCCATTTTTGCTTTGGTTGCTGGTGCCTGTGGGGTATTACTCAAGAAGTCTTTGCCCAGTCCAACAACCTGGAGAGTTTTCTCAATGTTTTCTTATAGCAGCTTCCTAGTTTGAAGTCTTAGATTTAAGTCTTTAATCCATTTTGATTTGATTTTTGTATATGGTGAGAGATAGGGGTCTAGTTTCATTCTTCTGCATATGGATATCCAGTTTTCCTGGCATCATTTATTGAAGAGACTGTTCTTTCCCCAATGTATGTTCTTGGAACCTTTGTTGGAAATGAGTTCACTGTAGGTGTATGTATTTATTTTTGGGTTCTCTATTACGTTCCACTGGTCTGTGGATCTGTTTTTATGCCAGTACCATGCTGTTTTGGTTACTATAGCTCTGTAGTATAAATTGAAGTCAGGTAATGTGATTCCTCCAGTTTTGTTCTTTTTGGCTGGGATACTTTTGGCTATTCTGAGTCTTTTGTGGTTCCATATATACATCTTAGTGTTTCTTTTCCAGATGGCATCCAGGTTTGTATGCATGCGGGCCCAAGAGAACACTAGTATTTCCAAGTTAACCAATAAGACCATAATCATGAGGCCAGAGTTTTTACTTATTGCATAAATAGGGCCTAATCAGTCCAACATCCTAAGGCTCAGCCCCTACAGGGGTCAGATAACTTCATTCATGGCCATCAAATGTATTCCAGCAGTGCCTGTCCTTGTAATAGAAAGAGGCCTTTGGTTACAAGGAGTGTGGTTAAAGAATTTAAACATAATTAACATTTTTGTAATACTCATACATTGTTTCACAAAGCCGTTAATTTATTTGATCCTCACATTTCTTGAAGTAGACAGGGCAGGTTTTATTAAGCTGACTTTACAGGAGAAGAAGCTGAGATCCACAGGGATGGAGTGACTTGCCCAAGGTTACCCAACAAATGCCTGGTGCTTTAGGTTGGAGGAGGGCAGCTATTTTTAAAAATCTCTCCCAAGTAAATCTATTTTACAGCCAGGGTTCGGTAGCACTGCTCTAGAGAATAAACAAATATGTCAACTATCCCTTCGCGGGATTTATAGTTATCATTTGTATCAATCCCTAGGTAATGTTCTTTGGGAAGAAATATTGACATCCTTCTTATTTCAGAACTTCAACTCATAAAGTAGGCTGAATCCTGTCAATATCTGAGTGTCACAGGATCCACACAATGGTCCCTACTTAGAGGTACTGTGGAGAGATAACTATTTACATGACAAGAGCAAGGGTCTCAGGGGAAGACTTGGCGATGGGGGTCAGGTTCTGCTATTTCCCTTAAACCAAACGTCTTTGTTGTTTTTTTTTTAATGAAATATTCTTATTTTCATAAATCTGTGAATGTAATTCTTTGGCTCTCTGGCACACAGTGCTCTGCAGCTCTCTGATCTGATGCCAGTGTTGTGTAGGGCTTAACCCACAAGGTGAGGAGGAACTTTAAGAGCCATGTGCCCACCAGGCATAGAGGCTCACGCCTGTAATCCTAGCACTTTGGGAGGCCAAGGCAGGCAGATTGCTTGAGCTCAGAAGTTTGAGACCAACCTGGCCAACATGGTGAAACCTTGTCTCTACTAAAAATACAAAAATTAGAGGAGCGTGGTGGCAGACACCTGTAATCCCAGCTACTCTGGAGGCTGAGGCAGGAGAATTGCTTGAACCTGGGAGACAGAAGTTGCAGTGAGCTGAGATCGCGCCACTGTACTCCAGCCTGGGCAACAGAGTGAGACTCCGTCTCAAAAAAAAAAAAAAAAAAAAGCCATGTGCTAAATGGCAGAAGCCTAGCCTGTAAGAGGACATTCTTTCCAAACACTGTAACCCCAGAGTTTTCTTCCATTTTTCTCTCTTATGTGCCTTTGACTTGGGAGTCATTTCTTTGGAATTTTCCTCCTGAATTATCCCCCTGAAGAGAAGTAACACCTGCTCTTTGTGGAATTGGAAAATGCAGATAAGCATGCAGACATTTAATCACTTTTAATTAGACAAAACTGTTACCATTTTTGAAGTGAGTTCTCTCATCACTATGAAATTCGTATTCCTGAAAATCATTTCACATATACAGATTTTGTAAAACAGAGCATGTATCACATAAACCGCAAACTTTTCTGCCAAAAAGTAAATTTTAGTGGCATTTAATTGAAGTTCAATTTTGGAAATTCCAAAACATGGGATACGGAACTCTCTCTCTCTCGAGAGAGAGAGAGAGAGAGATTGATTTACCAAATATTCCATTTGCCTTCCACAGTTCCTAGCTCCTTGCAGTTTAACTGCAAGGGGCGATGTGATCAGCTCTTGCTGTGAACTCAATTTTTGTGAAGTGATGAGAAGAAGAAGAAAGTGATGAAGATACAAATAAAATTTGAGGTTAAGCAGAAGTCTCAAGTTTCATAAGGAAAGTGTCATAATCTACAGAGAGAAAATTCTGTATATAAGTTTTATACAAGTAAAATTTACATGGACTTTACTTAACTCCTAGTATTTTTTTTTTTTTTTTTTTGAGATGGAGTTTTGCTCTTGTCACCCAGGCTGGGTACAATGGCGTGATCTCGGCTCACTGCAACCTCTGCCTCCTGGGTTCAAGCAATTCTCCTGCCTCAGCCTCCAGAGTAGCTGGGATTATAGGCATGCACCACCATGCCTGGCTAATTTTTGTATTTTTAGTAGAGATGGAGTTTCACCATGTTGGCGAGGCTGGTCTCAAACTCCTGACCTCCGGTGATCTGCCCACCTCGGCCTCCCAAAGTGCTGGGATTATAGGTGTGGGCCACCACACCTGGCCAAGAAAAATTACTTTCTTTATCACTTTTAATGCTTTTTGTCTTGAATTTAACTTTGATATTAATATAACAGCTTTCAGTCTTTTCAATCATATCAAAGTTTACATGATAACCAGGAAAATTCAATTTAGTGTATGTACTCAAGATATTTTTTTCACCATTCATGGGGGTCATTTGTTATTGCTGCTGGACAAAGGGTGGAGAGCTCTATAAATATGTGAACTCAAACATTAGCAGCAGAGCTGTGAGCTGCATGGGGCCCTGTGTGACTGCATGGTGACTTGTGCAGTAGGATCAAAGCAGCCTCCTGCTCCAATTTCCTCCCATCAGCCATTTATGCCCTCTACCCAGCTTGCTTTCTGATGAGCAAGGTGTTCCAAAATAAACCTCAGCAGAATGACTTTTCTTCCTAGATATACAACTGTGTGTAGTCTATTTCTGTTTTCAAACCACTGAATGATATGCCTGGAGTGACTGTGAAATTAGTGATACAGGAGGCCAATTCCATCACATTTTGGAGTGAATTTCCTCAAGGCCATACCAGTTCTCCCTGGTGGACACTAAAATATAAATTGTAAAATTATTACTTCCTCTATTCTAATGAATAAATAAATGCTTTACATGTACTCGTTAAATTTGCTAGAACTATCTGCACAACAGATGAGACAGATGAGGATATCCAAATGCATTTCTTTAATTATCTATGTTTATCAATTTACATTTTTTGAAGCGGAGGGTAATAATCTTCTTCAGGTTTTGGCATTAGGGTTATATGCTGGCTTTACAAAATAAGTTAGGAAGTTCTCCCTCCTTTATTTTCTGATAGAATTTGTGTATCATTAATATAACTTCTTAAACATTTGATAGAATTCACTAGTGAAATGTTGTGGCCAAGACTTTTCTTGGTTAAAAGGTTTCTAATTTTTTTTATTTTATTTTTTTGAGAAAGGGTCTCACTCTGTCACGCAACTGGAGTGCAGTGGTGTGATCTCAGCTCTCTGCAACCTCCAACTCCCAGGCTAAAGCAATCCTCCCACCTCAACCCCTCGAGTAGCTTGGACTCCAGGCACGTGCCACCATGCCTGGTGAATGTTTTGTATTTTTTGTAGAGACGGGGTTTTGCCGTATTGCCCAGGCTGGTCTCAAACTCCTGGGCTCAGGTGCTCAAGTGATCCTCCTGCCTCAGTCACCCAAGGTGCTGGGATTTACAGGTGTGCACCACTGCACCCAGCCACAGTTTTTTAATTATTAATTTAATTTCTTATATATATGGCAATTCGGATTTTTTGCTTCATGTCGTGTCAGTTTTGCAGCTAGTATTTTTCAAGGAATTTGTCCATTTAATTTGTTGACAATTACATTAAAATATGCCCCATTGTATCCTTTAAATGTCTATAGGCTCTATAGTGGTAACTATTTGCTCATTCTCGATGTTGGTAATACATATTTTCTCTCTTTCTGTTTTTGTTTTGTTTTGTTTTGTTTTTAGATGGCGTCTCGCTCTGTCCCCCAGGCTAGAGTGCAGTGACACAATCTCAGCTCACTGCAACCTCCACCTCCCGGATTCAGGCAATTCTCCTGCCTCAGCCTCCCAAGTAGCTGGGATTACAGGCGCCCGCCACCATGCCCAGCTAATGTTTTGTTTTAGTAGAAAGGATTTCACCATGTTGTCCGGGCTGGTTTTGAACTCTTGGCCTGAAGTAATCCACCCGCCATGGCCTCCCAAAGTGCTGAGATTACAGGTGTGAGCCACCGTGCCCAGCCATCCCTCTTTATTTTCCTTGATCTGACTAGCTAGGGGTTTACTGATATTCCTCACAATTTCAAAGAACCAGCTTTTGGCCTTACTGTGTTTCTCGATTATTTGTCTGCCTTTCTATTTCGTTGATTCCTGTTCTTCTTCTTATGTTTTTGTTTTTTGTTGGTTTTTTTTCTATTTACTTTGGATTAATTGTAGTTTTTCTAGCTTTTTAAGGTAGAAATGTAGGATATTGATTTTAGACCTTTATTCTTTTCTAATATAAGCACTAAAAGCTAGGAATTTCCCTCAGTGCAGATTTAGCAACATCCCAGATATTTTGATATGTGTATTTTTATTACCATTTGGTTCAAACATTTTTTAGTTTCTTTTTTCATTTCTTCATTGACTCATGAATTATTTCAAAATATGGTATTTAATTTCTAAACATTCGGCATTTTTCTATTTATTTTAGTTTATTTTTTTGAGACACAGTTTTGCTCTTGTTGCCCAGGCTGGAGTGCAATGTCACAACCTCAGCTCACTGCAACCTCCACCTCACAGGTTCAAGCAATTCTCCTGCCTTAGCCTCCAGAGTAGCTGGGATTACAGGCACCCACCACCATGCCCAGGTAATTTTTTGTATTTTTAGTAGAGACGAGGTTTCACCATGTTGGCCAGGTTAGTCTCAAACTCCTGACCTCAGGTGATCCACCCACCTCGGCCTCCCAAAGTGCTGGGATTACAGATGTGAGCCACTACGTCCGGCCACATTTGGTATTTTTCTAGATTTCATATTTATTTTATGGTCTGGCAGATGGTCTATTTTGGTCAACTTAATATGTGCACTTGAAAGAATGTATATTATGTAGGAAATAGTGTTCTATAAATAGTAATTTAGGCCAATGTGGTTAATAGTATTGTTCATTTCACCTGTGTCTTTACTAATTCTTTTGTCTAGCTGTTCTATCATTTGCTAAGAAGAGATGTTAAAATCTGTAGTAATGATTATGGAATGTCTGTTACTCCCTTTAAATTCTGTCAATTTTTGCCATATATATTTTGAAGCTCTATTTTTAGGCACATACACAATTATGTGCACAATTGCAATTATGATTGCAATGGCTTCCTGATAAATTGATATTTTATATCATGTTTATGTTTATTTTTATTTAAAAATTGAGACAGGGTCTTGCTCTGTCTCCCAGGCTAAAGTGCAGTGGTATGTTCATGGCTCACTGCAGCCATGACCTCCTGGGCTCAAGTGATCCTCCCACTTCAACCTCCTGAATAGCTGGGATTGCAGACACGCACCACCATACCTGGCTAATTTTTAAATTTTTTTTGTAGAAATGAGGACTTGCTGTGTTTCCCAGGCTTATCTCAAACTCCTGGATTCAAATGATCCATCTGCCTCTGCCTCCCAAAGTGGTGGGATTACAGGCCTGAGGCAGCAGGTCCAGCCAACTCTTTTATGAACTATCCCCCTTTATCTCTGATGATATTCTTTGCCGTGAAGTTTATTATCTGATATTAATATGGCCACTCTCCTTGCATGGTAGATGTATATTTTTCATCAATTTACTTTCAATCTGTCTATGTCTTTATTTTTAAATTGCATTTCTTGTAGAAAGCATACAATGGGGTTATGCTTCTTAAAAGCCCATTCTGACAGTCTCTGTCTTTTAATTGTATTATTTCATCCATTAATATTTAATGTAATTCTTGATAGGGTTGGATTTCAAGTTACCATTTTATTATTTGTTTTCTGTTTATCCCCTCTACTTTTTTCCTCTGTTCTTTCTTCTCTGTCTTCTTGTGGATTAGTTGGATATATTTCAGAATTCTGTTTTAATTCATCTATAGCATTTTTAGTCATATTTTTCTGCATTATTTTCAGTGGTTGGTCTAGAAAATTTAATATATATTCTTAAACAGTCTACTTGGAATATTACCAATTCATGTTTTTTGTTTTTGTTTTGTTTTGTTTTTTGTTGTTTTTTTTTGAGATGGAATTTCACTCTTGTTGCCCAGGATGGAGTGCAATAGCGTGATCTCAGCTAACCACAACTTCTGCCTCCTGGGTTCAAATGATTCTCCTGCCTCAGCCTCCCAAGCAGCTGGGATTACAGGCATGCGCCACCACACCCGGCTAATTTTGTATTTTTAGTAGAGAAGGGGTTTCTCCATGTTGGTCAGGTTGGTCTTGAACTCCTGACCTCAGGTGATCCACTCACCTCAGCTGCCCAAAGTGCTGGGATTACAGGCATGAGCCACCGCGTCTGGCACCACTTCATGTTAAATGCAAAAAACTTGTAATCATACAGGTCTTTTTATGCCCAATTTTTACACTTTGACACCTGTTTTACATATAAACCTTCCAAGACAATGTTACAATTTTTACTTTAAAGACTCATATGTGTGTAGTTCTTCTCAATTAGAGGAAAAGAGTCTTTTATATTTATTCAGACATTCATCATTTCTGGGGCTTTTCATTCATTCCTGAAGACCTGAGTTTCCAACTGGTATCATTTTCCTTCAGCCTGAAGAATTTTCTTAAACATTTTTTCTAGTGTAAATCTGTTAATAACAAATCCTTTTGATTTTCTTTTATTTGGAAATGTCCTTATTTTGCCTTCTTCCTTGAAAAAAAATTTGTGGACATAGAATTCTGGCAATCCATTTTATCTTTGAGCACTTTGAAGATGTTCCACTACCTTCTAGCCTCCATTGTGTCTAATAAGCAGTTATTGCAATTTGAATAATTGTTTTCCTTCTTGTAATGTGTCTTCATCTTGCCTGTTTTCAGAATTTTTTCTTGATGTTTAAATTTTAGCAGTTTTACTATGATGTGTTTGATGTGGTTTTCCTTATATTTATCCTGTTTGAGATTTCACTGATTTCCTCTAAACTGTAAATTTATGTCTTTCATGAAATATGGGAAGTTTTGGGCCATTGTTTCTTCAAATATGTTTTCTGCCCCATTCTCTCTCACTTTTTCTTCTGGGTCTCTAACCATACATACATTAGATCTTTTGATATTATCCCACAGGTCCTTGATTCTGTTCTCTCTCTTTTTTTTTAATCTATTTTCTCTCTCTTGTTCCAAGTGGATAGTCTCATTTATCCATCCTCAAGTTCATCGACTTTTACTTTGTTGTCTCCTGTCTGCTGATAAGCCTGTGCAGTTAATTTCTATCTTTGATGTTATAATTTTATTTTTAGAATTTTTATTTTGTTCTTATTTCTATTTTGCTACTTAAATTTCCATCTGTGCATTCATTATAAGCATATTTTCTTTTATGTCATAGCATAGTTAAAATAACTGCTTTAAATTTCTTGTTTGATAATTCCAACATCTGGATTACTCAGGGTTGATCTCAGCTGATAATCTTGTCTCTTGAGAATGGATCACATTTTTCTGTTTTTTTCATATTTTGATAGATTTTGAATTATATTCTGGATACTGCGAATGCTGTGTTGTAGAGAATCTTAATTATGATATATTACTTCTAAGATTGTCAAACTTTTTGTTTGTCTGTTTGTTGTAACAGACAATTAACCTGATTGGACTCAAACTACAAATTATGTTTTTTAATCATTGGCTTAAGTTTCCGTTCAATTCTTTTCTACTTAGGTAGGTTGCTTACATTTTGCCTGGTAAACACATGGTTTAGGGACCAACCAGAGATTTGGGCAGGGTTTATGTATGCACAAAATTTGGGGCATACTCTCTGACTCTTTCCTCTTCAGAACCTCTCTTTCACTTTCTGGCAGTTCTCTGATTAACAGACCAAATGACTAAAGGTTTTCCATTGAAGTTTTAGCCACACTGCATGACACAGACTGGGACAAGTCCCAAAGGTAGAAGCCATGAAAATGGGAAAACTTTTTTGATTTCACTCGGATGTTTGTCCCCACCAAATTTCATGTTGAAACGTAATCCCCCATGTTGGAGGTGGGGCTTAGTGAGGGGTGTTGGATCATAGGGGCAGATTCCCTCATGAATAGCTTAGCACCATTCTCACAGTAATGAGTGAGATTTCACTCTGAGTTCATGCAAGATCTGGTTATTTAAAATTTAAAAGTGTGGCGCCTCCTCCCTCTCCTTCCTGCTCCTGCTCTTCTCGTGCAATGCACTTGCTCCTTCTTCACCTTCCACCATGGTTGGAAGCTTCCTGAGGTTCTCAGCAGAAGCTGAGCAGATGCCAGAGCCATGCTTCCATGCTTCCTGTAGAGCCTGCAGAACTGTGAGCTGATTAAATCTCCTTTCTTTATAAATAACCCAGAAGTTCTGTTGTTGTTGTTGTTTAGACTCCAGCCCTGTTGCCCAGGCTGGAGTGCAGTGGCGTGATCTCAGCTCACTGCAACCTCCACCTCCCAGGTTCAAGTGATTCTCATGCCTCAGCCTCCTGAGTAGCTGGGATTATGGGTGCCCACCATAATGCCCAGCTAATTTTTGTATTTTTAGTAGAGATGGGGTTTCACCATCTTGGCCAGGCTGGTCTTGAAGTCCTGCCCTCAAGTGATCCACCCACCTTCACCTCCCAAATTGGTGGGATTACAGGGATGAACCACACCACCTCATCACAGAGGTATTTTTCTTTCTTTTCTTTTCTTTCTTTTTTTTTTTTTTTAAGACAGATTCTCGCTCTGTCACCCGAGCTGGAGTGCAGTGGCGCGATCTTGGCTCACTGCAACCTCTGCCGCCCAGGTTCAAGTGAATTCTCCAGCCTCAGCCTCCCAAGTAGCTGGGATTACAGTTACCTGCTACTGTGCCTGGCTAATTTTTTTGTAGTTTTTAGTAGAGACGGGGTTTCACCATCTTGGCCAGGCTGGTCTTGAACTCCTGACCTCATGATCCACCCGCCTTGGCCTCCCAAAGTTCTGGGATTACAGGTGTGAGCCACCGCGCCTGGCCAAAGTATTTCTTTATAGCAATGCAGAGACGAACTAACACATTCACCCAGTGCCATTTTTTATTTTTCCCAAGGATCAAATCCTCTCTAAAATCTGCTTGCCTTTGGTTGCTCTCCAATATCTTGTTACTCTCTAGGAAATTGTGTGTGTGTGTGTGTGTTTCTGTAGTTGTTTTCTGTAGGCAGATCAGCCAGTTGGAGCTTCTTCAACCATACTGGAAAGGAAGTTTATCCATTTAAAATTTTTTTAATGTATTTATTTATTTTTTGGCAAGCATTTATTCAGTAAATCTGTCCTATGTGCTCACTGTATGTTAAGCAATGTGCTAGGCAGTGGGATATAAGGATGTCCTCAAGGGACTAATGGCCTGGCATGGGGATGAGCAAGATAACCAGAAGATGGTACAGAATGGGGAGTGCTATGTAAAGACATGCTCAAGTCACTGTGAAGGGGGAGAGATAACCCCAAAATGGCTACTGCAGAAAAGGCACATATTGGAACAGGCGTATATGCAACTCTAGAATTTCAGACTGATTAATGTCATAAATTCTAGATGATTCATCTAAAATGAAGTACAAATTCTAGAAGTAAATAATTGTATTTAAGCATGCATAATTTCTTTGTGTTACCAATACCAAGATCTTTTTTTTCTGTAGCTGTAGCCAGTCAGGGTTCTGGGGTTATATAAAGAAGACAAGATGACAGCTGTGTTTCAGGGCATCTGAGGATAGGACATGTTGGCATTAAGCTAAACACCACAGTAGTAAATCTATTAATATCTGCCTAGGTCAAGAGTGCCCATTTTGAACAAACTTATGTATGTTACGATAAAATATTTCCCATAGTGTTTTGTAACTTCCTCTCATGTTTAGTCCTTTCTCATTATGACAACTAAAGATTTTATGAGAGGAGGAGTCAAACTGACATTAGAAATATTTCCCTAGTTCAGAGATGTTTAACACTGAAGATTTCCTTCTGCCTTCTCCTTCTGTGCTCTTGGCATCTTGTGATGCTTGGCACCTGCCAACAAGCACTGAGGGATCAGTACTAGACACTTTGGCGCTGAGAGTATCGCCTGAGTCCTCCCCTTGTCCACCTGCAGTAAATCAGGTGGCATAGCTCCTACACACTTACCGAGGGACCAAGTGGACGCAAAATATTCAAGCTAAAGATACCACAAGCTTTCACTTGGTCGCTCTGCTTAATAGATTGGGAACTGCATGTTAAAAGAGGTCAGAGCAGTGAGTAATTTTGAAGAACAGCGTAGGAGAAATATGCAGCCTCAGAAAAGTTTTGACTCCAGGCTGGGTGCCGTGGCTCACACCTGTAATCCCAGCACTTTGGGAGGCTGAGGCGGGTGGATCACCTGAGGTCAGAAGTTTGAGACCAGCCTGGCCAACATGGTGAAACCCCATCTCTCCTAAAAATACAAAAATTAGCCAGGCATGTTGGCGTGTGCCCATAGTCCCAGCTACTCTGGAGGCTGAGGCAGGAGAATTCCTTGAACTCAAAAGGCAGAAGTTGCAGGGAGCTGAGATCATGCCACTGCACTCCAGCCTGGGTGACAGAGCAAGAATTTGTCTCAAAAATAAACAAATGAACAACAAAAACAAACAAACAAAAAAACAGAAAAGTTTTGACTCCAGGCATCTATCGCTTGGTCAGGAAATTCTAGAATAGCTGCTCCAGTTCTAATGGAAACCACACTCAGGTTGATTTGATGGGCTATTTCTCAATTGAATTAAGTATTTTCTGCTAGGGCGTGTGTTAAATTTTCTGTAAGATCCTATCTTTGTTGTGAAACTTGCCAAATAATTTATGAATACTATTTAGCACCATCTCTTCATGCAATCACCATCAATAAAAGGCTTCCCGTCAGCATATGACCTTCACTTGTGTCCCATACTCTCTCTTCCAGCCAAGTTAACGCATTACCATCTTCCTCATGGGGAGAATGGCTACCACCTGCAGCTTTCCTGCTGGCACACTCTGAAGCTGGCTTCTGCCCCAGCAGGAGAAGTATAAGAGGCCTCTTATACAGGTTTTCCTGCCTGATGTCTGGGGTTGGCCATCCAGTGCACAGGTCTCCTTACTGCCTAACATCTAGGCTAGATTGACAGCCTTGACCTTGTTCTTACTTTCAGCTCCTCTTCTGAATGTACATACTACATCTCGGTCTCAGCTTTGCCCTAGCTTTGCTGCTTTGGGCTTCCTTCCCTGTATCCAGATACAGCTGTAATCCATTGTGTCCCTTTCTATCACATCTAATGCTACTAAAGACCACGGAATTTATTATTATTATTATTTTTGAGACCAGGTCTCCCTCTGTCACCCAGGCTGGAGAGCAGTAGCACCATCTCCTCTCACTGCAACCTCTGCCTCCTGGGCTCAAACAATCCTCCCACCTCAGCCTCCCAAATAGCTGGAGCTACAGGTGCATGCCACCACGCCCAGCTAATTTTTGTATTTTTTGTAGAGATGAGGTTTCACCATTTTGCCCAGGCTGCTCTTAAACTCCTGGGCTCAAGCAATCCACCCACCTCATCCTCCCAGTGTTGGGATTACAGGCATGACTCACTGCACCCAGCCAGACCATGGAATTTATAAAGTTGAATTTTCCTGAACCATTAAAGGGAAAGATGCAGGAAATAAGAGAATGGCAAGTGGAAATGGTACCAAGAATTATTGGCTTCTTGTTTCATGCAGTGATTCTATGTTGGATACTCTCCTTTGGTTCTTACATATACTTACTGAAATGGTTTGGCTCTGTGTCCCCACCCAAATCTCATCTTGTAGCTCCCATAATTCCCACATGTTGTGGGAGGGACCCAGTGGGAGATGATTAAATCATGGGGTCAGATCTTTCCCGTGCTGTTCTCCTGATAGTGAATGGGTCTCACAAGATCTGATGGTTTTAAAAACGGGAGTTTCTCTGCACAAGTTCTCTCTTTGCCTGCTGCCATCCACCTAAGACGTAACTTGCTCCTCCTTGCCTTCTGCCATGATTGTGAGGCCTCCGCAGCCACATGGAATTGAGTCCAATTGAACCTCTTTTTTTTTTTTTTTTTTTTGTAGATTGCCCAGTCTCGGGTATGTCTTTATCAGTAGCATGAAAACGGACTAATACACTTACCTAACTCTCAAAACAGCCTACTAAATTGTTGCTATTGGCATTTTTCAGATGAGGAAACTGAGGCACAGAGAGATTAATTTGCCCAAGATCACTTGTACGGAAAGTAAACACACCATTTAGACTCTCTGAGCCTTAGTTCTTTGTCTATAGCATGGAAATGTAATAGTACCTGCTGTCTAGAGTTGTGGTGAGGCCTATGTAAGTTCATACATGTGCATTAGGACAGTGCCTGGCATGTTGTGAGTGCTCAGTAATTCTTAGCAATTAATATCTTGCTTCAAGTATTTGGAGTAAAGTGCTCTTTTTTTTCAAGCGTGGCAGTTAAGGACCATGAAGCCTAGAGCTGCAGAAAGCGCTCTTTGTTACCATGTACAGTGAGCCTGCCTGACAATGAGGCCCATTGAAAAGAAAGCAGAGCTGAGAGATTGAGGAAGACAACATCCATGTAACATTATTTGGGCCCTCAAATCTTTCTGTTCTCAAAGCTAGATGCAACCCCAAATGAGCCAATATAAATTCTCTGTTTTTAAACAAGCTTCAGTTGGGTACCTATGACCTTTGTCTAGAAGAACCTTAAGAGAGTCCCGGGCAGACACTTCTAGAAAACAATATGCATTTCCAGAATTTGCCTTAGCCTTGTGTCAAGGCAGCTAATGAAGCTGGTTTTCAATTGTGCTCAGAGTTCCACAATAGAAGAAAGTAATTTGGTTCCCTTGAGTGTTGAATGGGAAGTCAAGCTACTTATAAGTTGTTGGAACTTTTTTTTTTTTCTTGACTAGTGGGAGGAGGGCTGCATGGTACCAACTGAAAGGATTTTTTGGATTATTAGAGCTCTTTTGACACATAGGTTTTACAGTTTGGCAGGCTCATAAGATCCCGAGGTCTAACTTGCCCACTTTACAAATGAGTAAATTGCAGCCTGGAAAGATTAAGTAACTTGGACAAGCTGATTAGTCTACGTAGGAGAATAACCAGGTTCTAAACCTTGCTGTCATTTGAATTCTCTCTGATTTTGGATTTTCAGCAATATAAGCTGCACATAGGTTTTTTTGGACATAGACATGCAGAATTAGAGTCAGCAAGCTTATATCAGCTCACCCGACTCCTAACCTAGCTTGGTGTTTCTCTCATTGTATCATGCTTCTTCCTATCATTAAACACTTTTCCTGTGGCCACAATGTTTACTTAATACAGTAGTCTCCACCCCCCTATCCACAGTTTCACCTCCACAGTTTCAGTTACCTGTGGTCAACCACAGTCTGAAAATGGATAAGTAGAGTACAATAAGATATTTGAGAAAGAGAGGGATCACATTTGCATAACTTTTATTGCAGCGTGTGTTGTTATTTTATTATTGTTGTTCTTAGCCTATTACTGTGCCTAATTTATAAATTAAACTTTATCATAGGTATGTATGTATAGGAAAAAAAATAGTGTATATATGCTTTGGTACTATCTGCAGTGTCAGGCATCCACGGGGGGTCTTGGCACTTACCGTCGTGGATAAGGAGAGACTACACAGTACACAGCAAGTAACAAATGCGTAGTGTAGAACTCTAGCCCTACAGAATGTTTCTAGAATGCGGTAATGCAGAAAAAGAAGTTCTGTATTTAAATAAATTAATGAGTTAATTACTGGTGGTATGTGCCTGTATTCCCAGCTACTTGGGAGGCTGAGACGGGAGGACTGCTTGAGCCCAGGAGTTTGAGGTTACTGTGAGCTATGATAGCACCACTGCACTCCAGCCTGGGTGATAGAGCAAAACCCAATCTCAAAATAAATAAATAAATAAATACATAAATAAATAAAATGTATGAGTTGGTTGGGCATGGTGGCTCACATCTGTAATCGCAGCACCTTGAGAGGCTGAGGTGGGCAGATCACTTGAGGCCCGGAGTTCGAGACCAGCCTGGCCAACATGGTGACACCCCGTCTCTACAAAAAAAAATATAAAAATTAGCCAAGTGTGGTGGCAGGCGCCTGTATTCCCAGCTACTCAGGAGGCTGAGGCAGGAGAATCACTTGAACCCGGGAGGCGGAGGTTGCAGTGAGCCAAGACTGCGCCACTACACTCCAGCCTGGGTGACAGAGCAAGACTCCATCTTGGAAAAAAAAAGTGTGGCTTAAATTGGTTTCTTTACTGCAGTATTTCTCAGAGCCTTTAATAAGCTGTTTTGCATTATAAATGGGGCAGGGTGGGGTTAGACATAGGATACAGTGTTTTCAAACTCATCTTACCACAGATCTAGTGTTCTGGGAAATGCAGCATTAGAGGCATGAATCTTCACATTGTTTTCCAGGGTTGAACAATCATCTTATCCCTTGATTCAGTTCTACCCTCTTCTTTGGTGTTCTTTCTGGATATCCTTTTAATTTTTATGTTATTTATTTATTTTAATTTTAATTTTTTAATTTTAATTTTTTTGAAACAGGGTCTGACTCTGTCACCCAGGCTGGAGTGCAGTGGCACAATCCCAGCTCACCGCAACTGCTGCCTCCTGGGCTCAAGCCATCCTCCCACCTCAGCTTCCGGAGTAGCCAGGACTACAGGCATGAGCCACCACGCCTGGCTAATTTTTGTATTTTTTGTAGAGATGGCGTTTCGCCATGTTGCCCAGGCTGGTCTCAAACTCCTGGGGTCAAGCGATCTGCCCACCTTGGCCTCCCAAAGTGCTGGGATTACAGGCGTGAGCCATTGCGCCTGGCCCAGTTCTCCATTTTAAATTATCACCTTCAATTTTCATACTCCCTCCTGTTTCTCCAAGTTTCTGTATTTGGTTGCTTCTCTGGCTGTGGTTCCTTTTCTCAGTCTCTTTGTGTGTGGCCTTTACTTGCAGGGTGAAGCGTTCTGATGAGACAATGTCTCTGGCGAGTTCTGTCTAATGAAGAATGATCAGCTTGAACACTCTCCGAAGGGCAAGATCAGCCCTGACTTATAATAATTATATCTCAATACTCTCACACCCCAAGGTGGGCTTGTGGGAGGGAGCCGTACATAAAGATGCTTTCAACAGATTGCCCAGAAGTGCCAAGAAAGCCACTGTCCCCCTTGTTGAGTCCTACTCATCTTCCCAGGCCCAAGCCCAGTGGCAGAACATCTCCACGAAGTTCCCAAACATCGGAAGCCCCTCTCCTGACTTCCAGCATCTCACAAGAAAGTCAGCTCCAGCTTAGCACTTAGCCTCTTCTCCCCTGACAAGCTGACAAGCTGACCGTCTGTCTAGGACGACATTTGTGTTTTGACTAAAAGAATCAGCCTCCCTGATTAACATTTGCCACAGTCGTCACCAAGTATGGTGCTGTCTTTTATTGTCCTAAAAAGTATTCTGTGCCTTCTACATTACGCTTGTGTCCTTAAAATTCTAGCAGAAATTTTTAGTATAGTTTGCACACTGGGTAGAATTTATCTTCATTGATAGTTTCCACACTCAACATTCCCTATTTGTTTTATTTATTTATTTATTTATTTATTTATTTATTTATTTATTTATTTTGAGACGGAGTCTTGCTCTGTCACCCAGGCTGGAGTGCAGCGGCGCAGTCTCGGCTCACTGCAACCTCCACCTCCCAGGTTCAAGCGATTCTCCTGCCTCAGCCTCCCAAGTAGCTGGGATTGCAGGAGTGCACCACCATGCCGGGCTAATATTTTCGTATTTTTAGTAGAGATGGGGTTTCACCACGTTGGCCAGGCTAGTCTCAAACTCCTGACCTCAAGTGATCTGCCCGCCTCAGCCTCCCAAAGTACTGGGATTACAGGCGTGAGCCACCACGCTCAGCCCCTCAAAAGTCCTTTATTTTCAAGGGTCTTCACAGACCGAATGACAGCCTTGCGGGCATCACTGTGGTGCCTCCATGCAAACAACACAGCGTTGGAACCAACATTAGTGCTGATCCAATTAAATGAATGCCATAGGCTTTTTCTCTTGCTTGCACTTTTTTTCCCCAACATTTTCACATTCATTCTAAAACTGAGATGCATTTTATGTAAGTCTCTATTTTAAGGAGTTTCAGGAAGACTAATGCAGGCCTTTGGCTTCATGATAGAGACTACACAGCCAAACAAGCAATTTCAAAGGCTAGGTGTAAGTTATTGACAGGTGGAGATCTGAATAAACTTATAAATACTTATCAGCATTCACTTCAAATTTTAGTACTCTGTACAAGAATAGATTAGAAAATAGCTTCTGAAAGGTCGACAGAAAGTGTGCTTTCAGTATCTTCCACTTCAATGGCTTTCCTAGACACATACATGCCCTTTTCACTACTTTATATTGAACCAAAACTTTATTGTCACACAGTGCGGTTAGCTAAGCAGCTGATTGGTTGTTTTTTTTTGTTTGTTTTGTTTTTTAACATTTTGGTGTATCTTGGGATTTGTCAGTCCTGAATGTACGCTCTAATTAACACATCAACAGAGAACTGTGGCCAGCCAACAGAATATCTCATGTGCTTCCTCACTTGGCCTTACTTTTGGGACTCACTAAATGGTGAATTCACTACCTACTCAGAAGCCACCCTCACAGGTATAATTGAAGGAAACTGTAGTAGATGTGAGGCCTGATCTGATAACACCTAGGTCTCTTCCAGGGAAGAAGAGGCTAGAGAAGATTACTCTTGCTATAAACCTGAGAATCATGTAACATGATAAGTACTACCTGGCTGGCCATTAGTTTAAATAAGTTACTTGCTTGGGCTCACATATCACACCAAGGTGTTAAATTTAATCTCTAAAGACTTACGTGGTTTGGACTCAGAATGTTCTCGTTGAACACACTTCTTTCCCTTGTCATGTTGCATCCAAGCCCTGTAACTGACCCAGATTTAAGGACTTGGCCAGCCTGGACCACCAGGTAAGCTGTAGAAGAGACAGCATTTAAGTTGAGAATGCTTCCAGCTCTACATTTAAGTTTGGGATATCTCCAGTTCAGATCTGTCGGCTGATTATACAGCCCGTCCAACTTTCCTGGTTTCCTGTCTCACCTGCTTCTAAGTGAAGCCTAAAAACCTTGGACAGTAGAGCTTCAGACTTTCAACATGAGGATTCAGGGGTTAAGTCTATTTAAGACAATGCCTTGGTTCCTTTTTTCTATCATAACAGATAAGAATAGTCCTGTACCTTCCTGAAATCCCTAGTACATAGTAAGTGTACAATTGAGATACTTTCAGCAGAAAACCCAACTCAAAACAGCTTAAATAGGCCATTTATTTTATTTTATTTTATTTTTTAAGAGACAGAGTCTCACTCTGTCACCAGGCTGGAGTGCAGTTGCATGATCATGGCTCATTGCAGACTCAACTCCCTGAGCTCAGGTGATTATCACACCTCAGTCTCCTGAGTAGCTGGGACTGTGGGTGTGCGCCACCATGCCTGGCTAATTTTCAAAAAAAAAAGCTGTAGAGATGGAGTCTCCCTGTGTTGCCCAGGCTGGTCTCTAACTCCTGGGCTCAAGAGATCCACCCACCTCAGCCTCCCAAAGTGCTAGGATTACAGGCATGAGCCACTGTGCCTGGACTATGGCAGCACATTTGAATATCTGGGGCTTAGCTGGAAATTTCTAAAAACACCAATGCCCAGGAATACCTCTGGACATTCTAATTTCATTGGTCTGGGAAGGAGGCCTGAACCTGGGTTTTTTTGTTTCTTTTTTTTTTTTGTCCCCAAGACGGAGTCTCACTGTTGCCCAGGCTGAAGTACAGTGGTGTGATCTCAGCTCACTGAAACCTCTGCCTCCTGGGTTCAAGTGATTCTCCTGCCTCAGCCTCCTGAGTAGCTGGGATTACAGGTGTCTCCCACCATGCCTGGCTAAATTTTTTTTTTTTTTTTTGTAGATGGGGTTTCACCATGTTGGCCAGGCTGGTCTCAAACCCCTGATCTCAAGTGGATTCACTTGCCTCGGCCTTCCAAAGAGCTGGGATTACAGGCATGAACCACTGCACCTGGCCCTAACCTGGGTATTTTTTAAAGCTTCCCTTGGTGACTCTAATGTGCAGCCAGGATTGAGAACCACTGACTTAGACTAATCAGGAATTACCCCTGAATCATGTCAAGGAGAGATAAAATTCAACCCCAGTCAGGAAGATGAGAGGAAATGTCTATTGGATATGCAACCCACAGATGATCAAAAAATACTTCTTTAATTTCTCCAAAGAAGATACACAAATGCCAAACAAGCACATGAAAAGATGCTCAAAATCTCTAATCATTAGAGAAATGCAAATCAAAACCACCATGAAGTGCCACCTCACACTCATTAGGATGGCTACTATCAAAACAGAAAATACCAAGTGTTGGCAAGAACGTGGGGTGATTGGAACGCTTGTGCTCTGCTGATAGGAACGCATAATGGTGCCACTGCTATGGAAAACAGTATAATTGTTTCTCAAAAAAATTTTTTTAAATTACCATATGATTCAGCTATTCCACTTCTAGGAATACACTTCAAATAATTGACAGCACGGTCTCAAAGAGATATCTGTACATCCATGTTCATAGCTGCATTATTCACAATAGCCCAGAAAGCAACTTAAGTGTCCTTTGATGAATGAATGAATAAGTAAAATGTGTGGTACAATGGGGTATTTTTTAGCTTCAAGGGGAAGGAAATTCTGACACATGCTATAACAGGGATGAATATTGAAAACATTATGCTAAGTGAAATAAGCCAGTCACAAAAAGACAAATAAATACTGTATGATTCCACTTACAAGAGACACACAAAGCCATCAAATTCATAGAGAAAGTAGAATGGTGGTTCCAGAAGCTGGGGGAAGAGAGGACTGGGAAGTTATTGTTTAATAGGTATGGAGTTTCAGTGTTGCAGATGAAAGAGTTCTCTGGCTGGATTGTGATAATGATGATAGTAGTGCAACAAAATGAATGTACTTCATGGCACTGAACTATACACTTAAAAATGGTTTAGGTGGGCTGGGTACAGTGTTTCATGCCTGTAATCCCAACACTTTGGAAGACCGAGGCGGGTGGATCACCAGGTCAGGAGTTTGACCAGCCTGTAAGACCAGGCTGTAAGACCAGCCTGCCCAAGATGGTGAAACCCTGTCTCTACTAAAAATTCAAAAAATTAGCTGGGCATGGTGGCAGTTGCCTGTAATCCCAGCTACTCAAGAGGCTGAGGCAGAGAATTGCTTGAACCCAGGAGGCGGAGGTTGCAGTGAGCCAAGATCGCGCCACTGCCCTCCAGCCTGGGAGACAGAGCAAGATTCCATCTCAAAAAAAAAAAAGATTAAGGTGGTACATTTTGCTATGTAGATTTTACTATGATTTTAAAGATAATGTTTGTTGAACAGATGCAGAGCTGAGAATCTGCTCCACTTGCCTTCTATACTAGTGGCTAGCTGGCATCAGGGCAAAAATGGGGAAGCTGCACGGGGCAGGAGCACTCTGAAAACAGCAGATTGTATTCTTTAGAGAGCAATAATTATGAATTCCAATGATAATTAAGAGGGACGAGGGTGGAAAATAAGAATTGGGAGGGAAGGCTGGGCATGGTGGCTCATGCCTGTAATTCCAGCACTTTGGGAGGCCGAGGCAAGTGGATCACCTGAGGTCAAGTGTTAGAGACCAGCCTGGCCAACATGGTGAAACCCCATCTCTACTAAAAATACAAAAATTAGCCAGGCGTGGTGGTGTGCACCTGTAATCCCCTACTCGGGAGGCTGAGACAGGAGAATCGCTTGAACCCGGGAGGTGGAGATTACATCGCACCACTGCGCTCCAGCCTGGATGACAGAGCAAGACTCCATTTCAAAAAAAAAAAAGAATTAGGAGGGACATTCCAGAAATAGCCCACGCCTAGTTGGTTACCACCTTTTTGAGAGCCCCTCCCAGGTGTTCTTTAGCAAAATGCCCTGCTGAGAGTCGGGAAAGGTGAGACAGCATGAGGTCCCATCCACTGCAGGCCTCAGTGCGGCTTTTGCAAGAGTCAGGTTGGCCAGATGTCTACTCGCCTCTCAATTTCCCATTCTAATTAAAGCCACTGGGACTGGGCAATTTAAAACTACTGATAATAGCAACATCACTTATATGTGGCTTAGGGAAACGTATTAAGATTGATGCTAAATTTGAATGGTTCTGACATAGAGGATATCTACGGTTCTTAAAGTAAGATAATAAAGCTGTACTTGCAAGTGCTGACTTACTATAAGCTGGAAGCTTTCCAGCCCCATCAGTCCCCCATTCTGCAGCCCCACTTCCAATATAGGCCATCTCCTCCATTCCTCCATTTCTCCATTTCTCCCTGTACTTCACTTCCCAGGGGGTATGGTGCTCTGAAGGCCAGTGAAAAATGCCAACATTCCCCATCCTCCACCACCATCTCTACCACCATCTCCACCACCATCTCTACCACCATCTCTACTTTCTCAGTTTACTGAGTTTTTTTCTCACCACGTCCCAGACACACTATACGATCAAATCTTCTAACTTAAAAAGGGCTTTTCCTTGGGCTATCACTAATGAAAGGAAAATAGTGTTCATACCAACCTGAAGAAAGACTTTGAAATTTTAAAGTCATGTTTCCAGAAATGTGGACAACAGCTCACTTGACTCAGAATTACCTGGAACAGGGTTGAGGGCAGTGGCTGTCACCTATAATCCCAGTACTTTGGCAGGCTGAGGCAGGTGGATCACTTGAGGTCAGGAGTTCGAGATCAGCCTGGCCAACATGGTGAAACCCTGTCTGTACTAAAAATACAAAAATTAGCCAAGTGTGGTGGCACTCACCTGTAGTCCCAGCTACTCGAGAGGCTGAGGCAGGAGGATTGCTTGAGCCTGGGATGCAGAGGTTGCAGTGAGCCAAGATCACGCCATTGCACTCCAGCCTGGGTGACACAGTGAGACTCCACCTCAAAAAAAAAAAAAAAAAAGAATTACCTGGGACAGTAAAAAGGAAACCCCCTGGGCTATACCCAGACCCACTGCACCAGAATCTCTGGGAACAGGGTCAGGTAGCTGCACTTTAACAAGGATCCTAGGTGATTCTTAAACTGATGAGGCTTGAGAACTAGTCTTTAGAGGAAGGTCGCCAGAGGTGAACTGCAAGTGAATGCCCTTGAGCTAAAAAAGTATGGAAGTAAATGAGGGAAGTAAATGAGCCAAGTGGCTGTCTCATACAGTATTATCTTCAGGCCTTGTATTCATTTATGCCCATTGTACCAAGTGATCTATAATGAAAACCATTTCTTCATAACAGGCCCAGAGACTCTCAGGGCACCTACTTCTTGCATCATTCAAACTATTAGCAAATAACAACACCTTCTCGAGGGGTGTGACAACTGACAAAAGAGCAACACACCTTCAAATAAGGAAGAACTAGCCTAGTCCAGGGGTGTGGTCTGATTTTCAATGTTCCCTTTCAGATGACACTTGGGCTCTGACCAGCTGTTATTTTCATCCACCAGGAAGAGTTCTACTTTCTGAGCTCTTTGTGCAGCCAATTCTTCCTTTACATCCTTCACCTAGGAGAGGCTCAGGTGGTCAAGGTTCTTGGAAAAGGAGATCCTTTATTCTACCAGGCAGTGAACCAGTCATTCTGCAAGGGTTAGTAAGCTGTAACTATGTGCAAGGGTTCAAGATGGATAAGGCATCACAAGAAGCTTACAAACCAGTGAGGGAAGCAGATCACTAGACAGCCCGTTCCAATAGTGATAGATACATGCACGACACTTCTGGGGTGAACTATGGAGTAATGCGTAACCGTAGTAATCCAACCCAGGACTGGATAGTGGGAGAGGGCAGGGAAGGCTTCCTCAAGGAAATTCTCAGAGGCTTAAAAGGGTGAATAGGAGTGAACAGATGAAGGATCTGGCAGAGGAGACAGTGTGAGCAATGGCAAGGAGGGAGGAAATCACATAACGTTCAGACCAAAAGAAAAAAGCTGCGTCTACCACAGAGAGCCCATTGACCACTTCCATTTGGCCAAATCAGCAGGCTATTTTTCAGCAGTTTTTTCTAAATAAATTATTTCCCCAAATGTCTTTTGGCTGTCACTGTTTGTACTTTTTCTGACCAGTGTATGAATTCTAAAATTAGTTAGAAGCTTAAGGAAGGCCCAATAGAAATTAGACTGGAGTCCTAAGAAATCAGGCTGTGGGAAGATGATTATAATAAGGCTTTTAAGTAACATCTCAGACATTGAAATGATCTCTACAAGCAAGTAGTACAACCTAGTGCTGAAAGACAAGAAAGAAGGAAATCAGTCAGGCAGGCAGTTAGGGTGGGTCCTCGGTTGAATTCTTTCAAAGAAAAGAACAGCCTGAAAAATCAAGCTGCAGGCACAGATAAGAGAACTTGCCCTGGGGGAGAGGGGTGGGGGCAGGGCTTGCCTAAGACATGCCCACAGTCTCTAAGATAAGAAAGTCTACACAGGTGACTTGCCTAGACATGCCCACCCTGCAAAATTCTGTCCCCTGACACATATGCAGTAAGGGGAACAAAACAATATGGAGTAACTCAAGCTAAGGGCCCATGTGTACATTAGGAGGACTGGCTGGAGCTACCAGAAATTCATGCCTTATGCAAATGAGACACCCAGCCCTCATCAGTTTCTTATAAAAGCTTTAACATTCAACTGTAAAAACACCAA